>NC_000008.11:34102526-34405557 GCF_000001405.40 Homo sapiens | reverse complement strand
AATTAATCATCAGGGACATAAAAATTAAACCTACAATAAAATACAATTTCAGACATTAGAATGGCAACAATCAAAGAGAGTGACAATACCAAATTTTGGCCAAAATGTGAAATAAACAGGAAATCTCATCAGCTCTCATTGTTAGTGTGAGTGAAATATTGCACTATCACTTTTGAAAATTGTTCAGCAGCTTCTTATACACAAATAGATACCATATGACCCAGCAATTGAACTCTTAGGTAAATACAAGAAATAAAAACATATGTTTTATACATGAACATCTTGTATATGAATATTTATGGCAACTTTATTCATAGTAGCCTGAGTTTCAAGTGTAAACAATTGAAATGCCCACTGATAAAGAAACAGATTGACAGATTGCTATATAAACATAGAATGAAATACAACTAAGTGATAAAATGGAACATAACTTCTTATAAACACAACATGAATTAATCTCTGAGAATGTCATGTTGAGAAACCAAACACAAACATACCTTATGAATCTATTTATATAATGACCACAAACAGGCAAACCAAACTGTGGTGAAGTCAGAGAGAGATTGTCTCTCGCAGAAGAAATTGCTGGCAATACAAGTGTCTGGCAAATGACTTGGCTGGGAGGAGAGATAGGGAAGGACAAATATTAGGTAAACTAACTAAAAAGGGAGCAAAAAGGGGTTTTCTCAGAGGATGAAAATATTCCACATCTTGTCAATGTAGTTATCTGATGGGTGTATATTTTATGGGCATATAGAGTTGTCAAAATCATCATACTGAACAATTCATATCTGTGCATTTTATGATAAGGAAATTATATCTCAATAAATGGAAATAAATAAACATGAACAAAAAAGGATTAGTGTTTAAACTGAAGAAATTCAGGAGTAGTGATAGCCTCAGATAATATCATTCATACCACCCCGTGGAAAAGTGAACTCTCACATATAAACATTCATCTGCTCTGTGGGAGGCTTGCAGTGGAGAGCATATTGTATAGACAGCCTTGCTAGCGGCTGTGTTTATTTTTAGTTTAAAACAATGAGATAATAACAGGCTGTGAATCTGAGATGAGAATTATTGTGAGAAGATCTGTTAGGTGTATGAGAAATGGCAGGCAGAATGGGCTTCAGAAAAGAGCAGCCTGAATGTCTCCTTCTCAAGTGGCTAAGCTAATGAGGGGACAGGAATCAGGTGGTCTTTTGTGACCATAACAGTTTGCACAATCCTCAGGTTCAAGCATCATCCTTTTAACAAGCTTAAACAGCACTTGAACCAAGCTTAATCTACAAGGTAAAGAAAAACCTCCCTGGGACATACATCCAACTCCCTTTATGGAGTTCTAAACTCCCAATGGTAATCATAACTTGAAAAGAATGACTCTTATAGTCATCACTATTTTATCTTCACAGCAGCATAAGTAATATATTCCTTCAATTCATATTGAATTGAAGGTTCAACTAGTTGGACCACTTTACAATTTGGGGAAGAGTTAAGAATCAGAGTATTTTGTAAATCTAAACAAATCAAGCAATTACTAAACTATGGCCTATTCACTGTGTGGTCAAACAAAATAATTGATCAATGATTTGGAAAAGTAACACTGAACCCTCCCTCCATTTTTTGTGGAGAGAAAATCATCCACTTTAACCAATGATCAATTACACCTCTTTAAAAATTTTAAGTGCTCAGATATTCTTATCTCAGTTTCCAAATCTCTGAGGAATGCAGAGAGAGTTCTAACCTCCCTGAACTTTGGTTCTTCTCACTCATAAATGAAGGTAAATGGCTCTCCCAGCTCACAGAGCAAACTGTGAAGCCATAATCCACACTATGTCCTAAAATGATACTTCTATTATTGATATCATTTTATCTTTATGTCTGTCTCCTGACAGATCCCTCCTGGGTAGGGTGCAACATCCACTCTTAACACCAAGGCTAGTAAAGACCTGGTGAGCGTGGACCTTTTGTTATCTCATTACAAACCATATATAGGGCCGGGCAAGGTGGCTCAAGCCTATAATCCCAGCACTTTGGGAGGCTGAGGTGGGCAGATGATGAGTTCGAGACCAGCCTGGCCAACACGGTAATACCTTGTCTCTACTAAAAATACAAAAATTGGCTGGGCGTGGCAGTGCACGCCTGTAATCCCAGGTACTTGGGAGGCTGAGGCAGGAGAATTGCTTGAACCCGGAAGGTGGAGTTCGCAGTGAATGGAGATCATGCCATTGCACTCCAGCCTGGGTGACAGAGCAAGACTCCATCTCAAAAACTAAAAATAACATAAAATAAAACAAAAATATAGGCAGAGATCTAAAGGAAGAGGCAGGCTGATATTTTAGACAATTCCCCCAAAAGAATATATCTGAGGGAAAAGAAGATGACTGAAAGGAATGTAACTTGCTGAATGAGCTGTGGAACTTACTTCCAGGAAAAGGAGTCACCCAAATAACTGTTTAGGTGGCATTAGCAGCCAATGCTGGTGTCATTCATCTCACGTTCATTTCAATATTGCCTTTGCTCATGCTCTTCTGGGTGAATATAGTATCTTAACTCCTATTGCTAGTTACATCTTTGAATCTATTTAGGATTTTTATTACTTGGGAAATCCTTCAGGGCATGCATCTATAAAAAAGTCATGAAGGATTCAAGAGATCTGTGATTTCTTGCACAGCAAGGCTGGCTAGGACATAGGGCAAAATCAGTGAGGGCAGGGAAGTGTATGTTAAGAAGGGGGCACACAGCTATTTTGATAGGATGCATCCAGGTGAGACATCCAGCACAGGACTGGGGGCAGCCAGAATCAGTACAAAGGGGTACATATCTGCAGTAGTAGAAACTGGAAGGGAAAGCCCATGAAAAGTAGAGAGCCAGGAAGGCCACCCAATAAGAAAATTCCAGGTAAAGGACCAGTCTTCAAAGTATTAATCCTACGGATATATTTTGTTTGTTTGTTTGTTTTGTTTTGTTTTGTTTTTGTTTTGAGACAGAGTCTTACTCTGTCTCCCAGGCTGAAGTGCAGGGGCACGATCTTGGCTCACTGTAAACTCCACTTTTCAGGTTCAAGAGATTCTCCTGCCTCAGCCTCCCAAGTAGCTGGGATTACAGGCGTGTACCACCGTGCCTGGCAAATTTTTGTATTTTTAGTAGAGGTGGAGTTTTGCCATGTTGGCTAGGCTGGTCTCAAACTCCTAACCTCAAGTAAGCTGCCTGTCTCGGCCTCCCAAAGTGCTGGGATTACAGGCCTGAGCCACTGTGCCCAGTTACAAATATTTTTTGAGACAATATCATTTGCTAGACTTAGTCATTAGTGCTAGGGAAGCAATTGTAAAGAAAACCAACATGAGTCAGAAATAGGCACATTTGCCAGGCACAGTGGTGCATGCCTGTAGTCCTGGCTATTTGAGGTTGAGGCAGGAAGGATCACTGGAGCCCAGGAGGTCAAGGCCAGCCTGGGGAAAGTAAGACAATGCCATCTCTAAAATAAATACATAAATAGGATAAAAATAAAAAGACTCCTGGGTGCGGTGGCTCACGCCTGTAATCCCAGGACTTTGGGAGGCCAAGGCAGGTGGATCACCTGTGGTCAGGAGTTCGAGACCAGGCTGACCAGCATGGTGAAACCTTGTCTCTACTAAAAATACAAAAAAAAAAAAAAAAAAAAAAAAATTAGCCGGGTGTGGTGGGAGACACCTATAATCCCAGCTACTTGGGAGGCTGAGGCAGGAAAATTGCTTGAACCCAGGAGGTGGAGGTTGTAGTGAGCCAAGATCGTGCCACTGTACTCCAGCCTGGGTGACAGAGCCAGACTCTGTTTCAAACAAACAAACAAACAAAAGACTCCGACCCCCTCTCCCCAACAATAACCACATTTGGCTCCATAATTTGGGAGAGAACTAGACATGTGAGGAGTGTGGAAAAATTGTAGAAACATGGAGATGGAAGATTTTATAATGTTTTCTTTTTTTTCTTTTCTCTGCTATTTCTTATATTTTGGTCTAATTAGTTAAGTTTTACTTTCAGGAGCTCTGAATGACTATTGGAGTTCTATTTTGAAAATTCATATCACCTGTCCCTAATTTCAGTACATGATCAGGGTATTTATTTATGAATCATAAAGCATTAATTCTATGGTGTTTTCTTCGGTGATTTTCCTTAGTGGTACATGGGATTAGGACAAGTCTTTCCTGCTGCTCTGTTGCATGCTTGATGCTATTGTACCCACCTCACGTCCGAAGGTCCCATCTCATTAGATGCTACAGCTCTGTGTGCAGAGAGTTGGCATTACTAAGATTGGAACATTATTTATTCCTATTAAACAAAAGGTGGTTTTATGTAAGTGTTAAAACATTATTGCTTTTTGACTTCCTGGATCCATCAAATACCAGCTTGTGCTCTATGCCCTGGCAGGGAATAATCATATGTTAGCATTCAGTCCTTATCCACACAGAAAATGAAACTAGTATTGGTTTGTCTTTAAATGTTAGAAACATGCTTGCTTCTGATGGCTGTTCTTTCCCAGAGAACCAGATAGGAGGAAGTAAACAAATAGCTTTCCTAAATCTGGAAGGTTTAGGAGGTTTGGGAGGAAGGTGGACAAAAGGCTGTCAGGAGCCTAAGCCTCACTCTCCATCTCTGAGACAGTAGGCCAGGAGAGAGAAACTTGGGGGCTTTACAAAGGCTTTGAGAAAAATCTAAGAAGAAAGATGCTGAAGTAATATCAGTAGGATATGGCCAAGAGAAGTGGAAGAAGGTCTGTCCATAATTCCCAGAAAAGCAAACTGGTCAGCTGCTTCTGATCCAAAGAATAGCCCTAAAAGGGGTGAGGGCAGACTTTTACCTCAATTTTTGCCTTGGATTTTTCATTTATTAAATGCAATTGTAAAAACCAGCAATTAATTCTCATGGTATTTTTATTATTTACATATGGTCACATAATTGTCATGAATAAAGAATGTTGTCATGAATAACTATCATAAGCAACCTCAGTGTAGTAAACTCAGGAAACTTGGATCCTAGTCTTGCCACTGAATGACCAGTGTGGCATTAGCCCGGTGTTTCTAAATGTGTGGTCCCTGGCCAGCAGTATCAAATGCAAATTCTCAGTCCCTAGACCTACAGCATCAGCAACTAGGGGTAGGATCCAGAACTCTTTTTATTACAAGCCCCCCAGATATTGGGCTTAATCTAAAATTTGAGGAACATTGCTTTAAGCAATAGAAGTTTTCTGTGACTCAGTTTCCTCATCTACAAAAAGAGAGGATTTACTAGATGATATCTTTAGACGTATCTTACTCTAATACATATTGATTGTGCAACATTTTAAACCATGTAAAGTATCTTTATTGCTTTATGTCCCTGGTACCTAGTAAGGGCTCAAAAAATTAGATGATTATAAGATATTGCCCACCCTGACCTAAAAATATCACAGCCTAATGTGGAAATACTCTAGCATATTATCATCCATCTATATGAATTGGATCTACCAAGCAGAATTGTGCTCAGAGGCAGAAATAAATTGGTCTGTCCAGAAGGGGCAAGAAAATATCATAAAGGAAGTGTATGTTTCACGTGGCTCCTAAGACTAACTTCATATTCATTACAGTTTAAGAAAGTTGAGGAATGCAGAAAATACAAAGGAATTAAGGTATGGGAAAGCATTTTGGAGTATTGAAAAGAGTATATGGTAATGCAAAAATAACCTATGATTTTCATCTAGGAGTTTATTAGATTGTATATATTCCCCAGACTTCTGTACCCAATATAAATTTGCAACCAAAATTTAGATACATTTTAAAAAATCACATTTTTCCCCCTTAAAGAAAATCGTACTTGACTTCAATTTTCCATTCCGCAAAACTGGCAAATGACTCAGTAACCTTATTCCTATACTATCTGCCCTCTTCCCCAAGTGATGGGCAAAGGTTTGAGAGATAACGAACCAAATTGAGAATTCTAAAAAGACCCAGGTCCATATTATTTCTTTCAAGTCTGATGGTTCTGTGGTTTCTATGCCTCCCTAAAGCAGAAAGGTATTTGCCAGGACTGGGAGCCCCAGTGCCTAAATGTCATTCTCCCTCAGATTCCAGGGAATGGCCAGGAAGTAGGTTGTCTACATCGTATGATCTAGGGTTGTATAAACCTCTCATTGGGAGGCCGCCACGGATGAATCACTTGAGGTCAGGAGTTCAAGACCAGCCTGGCCAACATGGTGAAACCCTGTTTCTACCAAAAATACAAAAAAAAATTAGCCAGGTGTGGTGGCATGTGTCTGTAGTCCCAGCTACTTGGGAGGCTGAGGCAGGGGAATCACTTGAACCCGGGAGGTGGAGGCTGCAGTGAGCCGAGATTGTGCCACTGCATTTCAGCCTGGGCAACAGAGCAAGACTCCATCTCAAAAAAAAAAAAATGTCTCTACTTCATTGAAAATGAAAGAAATCTCTTCTCTCTTTTGCTGCCTTTTAAATTACTTACCTGTCTCTGGGGCTCCCTGCTACATAATTTCAAACGCTGATGAGAGGATATCTGTGAGAAGCTTCTGTGAAAGCTACCTTTTAAAAAATGGTAGGAGGAAAAAAATAACAGGAACAAAATACAAATTAATGCATCACATTCTGAAAAACAAAATCAGTAGCATGAATTTCTTCTTGATATTTGGAGTGTATCATTGTATTCCACAAAATAAAATCAAGATAGGGTGACATATCCCAAAGAACTGTTATTTTCATAATTCAAAGAGGGTTATATGAAATAGAATTTTTATCCTATCAGTTCACATCTTGGAAATAAATAAAAATGTCGTGCTGGTAAGTGCCCCACAACTGAACTAATCTAACCGAATTCAAATCTTTGTTAAGGCACTAGAAACTAAAGTATATCAAGCAATCAGTGGCTAAGTTTTCTCCTGACATCAGTAGAATCTAAACCATAGTTCTGGGACTCAGACTAATTTTCTGAGAACTTAAAGAGATTCTTGGCAAGGTATAGAATGATTTTGAAAGAAAGGTCTGCTGTGTATGATGTTTATACAATTTGTGAAAGAGAAGTACATGTTGTTAGTCATGAATCATGTGACCTAGTGGCTTAGTAAGCACTAAACCCTCACATTCAGTCTGTGTTATATTCCGTAGTCTGTCTCTGGTAGAAACTTTAGAAGGGCTAAACATTTTAAATAACTGAGTTTTGCAACAACTAGTGAATTTTTTCTCTTAATTTTTTAGTTTTTTTTATCTGTAGCTTCCCTCACTGCTCACACACACACCTCAGGAAATTAGTCCTAGGTAAAGACATGACAATTTACAAAGGAGAAATGTATTGGTTGCTCCAAAGTTTCTCTGAAGTATTACTGTATCTTCCAATGTTTCATATCAGAATCTTCCAATGTTTCTCTGAAGTATTACTGTAATTCAGAGCTTTCTGATTTCTTATCACCATTTGAATACATTTCTCCTGGCTTTTCTTTTCTTTTTTTTTAAGTGATATTTTCTTCAGTTTTTAAAGCAGTCATGCATGTTGATTATAGAATATTGAGAAAATTCAGAAAAGTAGACACAAACACATCACATACAAAAATTACCCATAATTATAATTTTATGTCTCAGAATTAACTACTACTCACATTTCTATGTTTGTTCTCCCAGACTTTTTTCCATATATATGCACACACACAGAAACACTCACACAAAATTACCCATTTTTATCATCTTATAATTACCTAGATTCAATCACTGTTAAAATTACCAACAGATTTTAATACAATAATACACCTTACATGCATACGCATACACACACTCTACGAATTGGAAACATATTCAAGATATTAAGTTGCTACTTACTTTTTTTCACTTACATTATGAACGTTTTCTAAGTCCTTAAGCTTTTCCTAAAGTTAAATAATGTAAACAGAATGCAATTTATTTAACCTCCTGTTGTCTTCAGTATTTTACAAGTGTTAATATCATTGTGCTTCACTATCATTATCACTGTAATTATCTTAAAGATAAGTCATTGCACACATCTAGTTTATTCCTTAGGATAAATACAGAAGTTGGATTGCTGAATTAAAGCTATGCACATTTTAAATTCATTTGAATAATAGTGCCCTCCAAGTAGGATTTATTAATATATTTTCCTAAGAAATATTAGAATATCATTTTTTCTAACTCTCACAAACAGTGGGGTTTTTACATCTTTTTTACTCTTCTGTTATAGGTCGCTGAAAATGAATATAATTGATGCTTAAATTACATTTAAAGAATTACTAGTGAGATTGAGCTTTTTGTCAAAATTTTTCTTTGGTGATACGTATTTCTTCTTGATTAATTGGCTCTTTAAGTTTGGTCAGTTTGACCCACTATTCCTTTAATTTTTATGGTTGATTTTATTTGAGTCATTCAATATGAAATAGCAGCAGCAACAAATACAGCTCTGTAAGACACGGCGGTTAAGGTACCACCTAGGAGCTTATTTTCTATCTGTGGATGAGGAACCTGGAACTCCTCTGGCTACTTAATATTATAAGTGGGTGGAAAAAAACATTTTAAAATTTCTAGTACAGAAAATGTTATTTAGGCATTCTATGCTAATACCTTAAATTGGGTAAATTTCCTTATATTTCTTTTAGATGTATAGCCACATAATCTCTTCTACAGAATAGAAGCAAATCTGACCTAGAAACTCTTGGAAAATGCTACCAGAAATCCGAATTCCTAAATTCTGTTTATGTCAAGCTATTCCTTTAACATTTTCAGATACCTTTATGCCTCCTCTTCTTTTTGATAGCACGTGCTCATAGATACATTTTACCAAAAAGGAAGAGAGGAAAAAAAGTGCAAATGATTGATTTTCCCTTTGTACTAGGCTTCTATTTCTTATTCTTGAATTATGGTGCAATTTTGCCATGAGAAGTGATTTTTGGTCCCACTTTCTCCTGGATTTCTTTGTCACAAGACTACAGTATCAAATATTTAAGATCCTGTATATTCCATGAATAATAGCAGAGTCGATGAGATACAATGACCTTTTCAGTATTCTGTATTATGACTAGCTATAGTCAATCCATTCATTTTGGTCTTTTATGGCCTCCCTGAGCTTGAGAGTAAAGAGTGAAATGGCCATCCGAATCAAAATATGATATGCCAAAAGGTCAAAATAGTAAAGTACACTAGTATATTTCATAGAATATATTAAGGTATTAAAATCCTAATATCTTGTCCTGGTGCCAGAATCTATAATGGGAAAAGAAAATGGCAGTTTAGGAATTTGCCCTTGTGAGAACTGGAACAAGTCCAAATGTGTAATGACTATTTCTCATCTTAATTAGAGTGAAATTTTATTTCCCATATTCAAAAGTCTATATACAGTGCTACATTTTTTTTTAAAGTATATGTGTTGGAGGTTTGTTGACACATGTAATCTCACCGCTGAAGGTGAGAGAACTTGTCTCCTCCATATCTCCTGCCATCTGGTACATCATTTTCTATAGTTTCCCACATCTTTCTAATTTCATCTTGCTCTTTAAAACATGTGTATGTGTTTATATGTGTACCTGAAGGTAGATATAGAGAGTTAAGCAGATGGGAAGATAGAAAAATTAATGACACCATTGCCTTTCTTAACTGTTTTATGTGCTTTTCATACATGATAAAAAGCTTAAACTTAATTTTACCAATAATACTTGGATACTTTGCCTAAGGTTAGAATACTAGCTCAAGGATATTGTTTTTACATCCCTTCTCTCCTAATCTTTTGTAAGAAATCACAGTATATTTTTATCTAGGTGTATTTCAACCAAAAATGATGTCAAGAGTTGAGTCAAAGCCACAATGCTTTCAGAAAAAAATGTCTTTCTAACTCTATGTTATAAAATTAAGTCAGAAAATAACTTTCTACAGGGTCCATGCTACCAGCTTTATTGGATCAGAAAAGTTTGGGCAGCTAGAATTTTTGTGGAATTTTCCCCTTGAGGGGAAAAAAATGAAAAAAAAAACACATTTTTTTAATTGATGAGAAGAAATATACTTATTTTGACTATTTTAAAGATCTTTATAGAGTCAAATATTCACAAATTGAATTCCATTTAAAATACCTTGGGAAGGCTGAAAAGAGAGGTTCAAAATGATAATTTATTAAGGAAAAATGCTTACTAAACATTTCTTATCAGGACTCAATATTGTTTTAAATAATCTACGATTAAGGAATTATGCACAGTTTCACATTTAATTTTCAAATTCTATCAACTTTGATGTTACTCAAGGAAATATGAATCTAAAATAATATTATGGAAAGGAATAAATAAATAATTTTTATACATTTAATATAAAACATGTTTATTAAAATTTTTACATCATAGCTAATTTTCTTATGCACATGCATACAAATAAAAAAATAGGAATCTTCAGGTTAACATCATCAGGACTATGAACTTTCTCTTTGATCCCATTTTAGGATTATTTTGATGAATAGCAAGCACTGATTACCACTAATGACAAAATTAAATTACCCAGCTGGCCTAAGCTTTCTCAACTTCTCTTTGGATTATCTTCTGACTCTCAGTTGTATAGTTAATTACCTCATTTTCTACTGTCATCCTTGTTGCAGACTGCTTGTTCCCTTGCAAATTGTGCAAAGAAAAAGGAAGAGGAAAAAGTATTTTTCAGATTTTTTTTAAACTTTCCTCAACACATAGTTTAATCTGCGTGGAAACCCCATATGCTTTCACAGATAGCCTTTTTTCTTTTCTTTTTTCTTTTTTTTTTTTTTAGAATAAATGTACTATATTACTTAACAATGAAGTGGCAATGACCATGGCAAAAATAAAAAAGAGAAATAAATATAAAATCCACATGCATAGGCACACACTCCGCATCACCAAAAAAGAATAAAGAAGTTTAAAATAGCTGACCAGTTTCTCAAACATGCCTCCAAAACAGAGTCCTCCTGGTTTATGGTATTACTTTCTATCATTTATTTTACACACTGATGAAATAAGTTAATAAACACTTTTCAGATAACTGATGATATTCCTGATTACCACAGTTTAAAAAGTCATCTTTTATCAAATATTTTTAAAAATTGACTTCACTTTTCTATTCTTTAAGCAAATTATTCTGCAAATAGCAACTTTTATTTAAAAATTGGAATAGTCACTGTGAACATGCAGTGAGGCAGTAATACCTTTGGGACTATTTAAAAATGGCCTCTGACTACTGTGTTTTGAAGCTCTTATCCATGAGATATATAGATATAACATCTTTTTGTCTGTCTAAACTTACTTCCTCGGCTATGTGTGATGGTTCACACTTGTAATGCTGGCAATATGAAAGGCTGTGACAGGAGGATTACTTGAGGCTAGGAGTTCCAGACCAGCCTAGGAAACACAGCAAGATTGTCTCTACAAAAAAATACCAGAAGATTTAGCCAGTCATGGTGGTATGCATCTGCAGTCCCAGGGAGGCTTAGGTGGAAGCATCTCTTGAGTACCAGGAGTTTGAGATTTCAGTGAGCTATAATTGTGCCACTGCACTCCAACCTGGGGAGCAGAGCAAGACCTTGGTTCAAAAATTAATTATTTTCACTTCATTCACCTTCATTTCTTAGGTCTTGTTGCCCTCCTACTGGTTAAGTTTCTGAGCTACAGATTTAAAAAGAGTTACTTTACAGGCCAAA
Organism: Homo sapiens; assembly: GCF_000001405.40. Classification (NCBI taxonomy): domain Eukaryota; kingdom Metazoa; phylum Chordata; class Mammalia; order Primates; family Hominidae; genus Homo; species Homo sapiens. The sequence continues at coordinate 34,393,890 of NC_000008.11, read as the reverse complement.
CTTGAAGCCAGACACATAATTTAGTATTTCCTAAAATATGTTCTTTAAATATTTGTCCAATGTTTATTAAGACAGTAGCCTGAATGTTGCCTTAGGGAAGGACAGTGAAGAAAGATGGCTTATAGCAAGGCCTCACCCTTTCTTCTACTGTTCTAACCTGTGCACTTTGTCCCCCAATTTTTGTACCTCATTCAGCTCTTCTTTTACTTTTTATTCTAAAAAAGTGTGTGAATTAAGCGTCTAAATATCTACTACCTGTATTTAACAATTGATAACCTTTTGCTATACTTGCATCATCTATTTTACTTGCTGATGTAGCTTAAATTACAGACAATAGGTCATGTCAGTCCTATGTATCTCAATATGAATCTTCATAAAATAGGGAAATGTTCTCATGTAAATACAGAATTGTTGTTATATCTAAGATGATTAAAATATCTTTTAATGCCATCTGACACCCTGAATTAAATGAGACCCAGCTTCCTTAGACAGTAACGTAGAGAGGGATCATCTATTGTTATGCAATCTGCTTTCTGGAGAATTACTGTCATGCTGAGGTCAACCCAGACCTCTTGAAGGTGTCTCTTTACCACACGGAGGGCTTTTCTTAAGATAATATGAGATTCTGTCCATTATGTTACATCCCCAATCTTATTTAGAGTAGCAGCAACCATTTAGCAGTTGGCCTATTTCTTTGTCATTCCAAGCCTGGGAGGTTTTAAAGAAAATGCCCTAATTTTGATCTGGGATAGATAAAGAACCATCAGAACTCGACCCCACAATTGGAGTTCAAGTGACTAAGAAATAAAGCAGGGCCAAGACATAATTTGTGATCAAGCTTGCAAAGTGGAAAGAAAGCCAAAACATTTAACATCTGTGAAACTGACTCTTGCAAATGAAATTCCAAGCTTTATAATTCTGCTGCTTAAATAAGCCACAATAGGAATCTTAGATTTTTGGTCAAAATGAATTTAGCATCCTCTGTGATTTGTGCAGCTTGCTCTACCATTCTACCTCTTTGGCAGTAGTCACAGTGTTTTTATTGAAGTTGAAACTGTGTGCACCAAATGCTAACTGGAGGTATTAAAACAGTCATGAATCAAGGCTAAGACAGATCATATCTTCAGGGCTCTGTGCCCTTAGATGTGTGGTTAGAATGAAAATTACAGTTCTTATACACATTCATTCCCCAAGGGAACATGAATTTGGAAGAGCAGAAGCTGCCACAAAGACTCATGAGTAGAAGATAAAATGTCCTTTTTCATCTGCAAGACAAAAGTTGATGTTCACAGCAAAGAGGAGCTTCTTCATGGGGGATTTCCAAGCACTGGTGATGATGACATTGAAGTCTATATTTTAATGATGGCAAATGGATGATATTTCTTTGGAAATTAAATGCTTCGCAGTGGTGAGCCTCAACTACAGAGTAACCTTGAATGCTAAGTGATTAGTGGAAAAGAAATTGTGGGAAGAGGAGATACTGTATCTGGATGGCATAATATTGAACATAATTTGCAGCCTGACAGTGCAGAAAGCCATGTGAATGACCAGTATAATGAGGATGCATGCTTTTATGAACATTTTCTCATCAAGAAAGTCAATATGAAAACAATGTTGACTATTATTCTATAGAAATTCAAACAGAATTAGCATTGCCCTCATTGGGTTCAAAATTTGGCCTTGCAGCTTATTAGTTGGGTAATATTGGGTATGAAAACTCAGCCTCTTCAACTGTAAAATAGGGAATCTACCCCAAAAAAGTGATTGTGGAATTAATTAATTAAATATAAGACAAGTTATTTAAAAATACATATTAGCCTTTATCCATGTGGTTTATTTAGGGGAGAGGTATCAGTTTGATATTTTGTAATTATAACAAACATCCAAATGCCTTACTGTGGTAGCCTCTAATATGACCCCACCCCAATGATCCTCACCTCCTGGTGTTCATGGCCCTGTATATTCCCCTTTCAAAATGAATGAGGTCAACCTACATAACCACTAGGGTATTTTAGAACTGATAATATATGACTTATACAGCTAGATCATAAAAGACATTATGGCTTCTCTCTTGCTCTGCCTTGGGACACTCTGAGGAAGGCCAAGTGCCATGTTTTGAGGACACTCAAGGACCCCTGTGGAGGGAACCATATGGAAAGAACTGAAGTCTCCTGACAATAGCCAACAAAAAAACTGAGGCATCCTGCCAACCTCCTTGCGAGTAAGCCATCTTGGAAGTAAATTCTTCTATCTCATTCACACCTTCACATGACTATAACCCTAGCCCAATTTCTTGAGTACAATCTTGTGAATGACTCTTCTCCAGAGCTATACAACTAAGCCACTCCTGAATCTTTGACTCAAAGGAATTGAATTGCAAAATAACAAATATTTGTTGCTTTGAACCACTAAGATGGAGTAATTTGTTAAATAGGAGTAAATAACTAATACACCTCCCATCCTAAGCTAGGCTAGAAATGAAAAGATCCATATAATCTTGGTAATAAAATCAGCAATGTATATCAAGGTATTTTCAAGTTGATTGAATCCCAGTTTAATGAAAGGTTTGCAATTAATACATGACAATATTCAGTCACGATATAAACTAGCTAATTTAAAGACTATGATAGGAAGTAGGATGATTGAGAACTAGGAGAGTAGATGGATTGAAAAAATTTGAAGCTGCAAAGCTGCTATGATCTGAATGTTTATGTCCCCCCAGTATTCATATGTTGAAATCCTTACTCCCAAACTGATTATGTTAGGATGTGGGGCTTTGGGGTGGTGATGATATAATGAGGGTACAGCCCTCATGAACGGGATTAGTGCCCTTATGAAGGAGCTCCCAGAGAGATGCCTTGCTCATTCTATCATGTGACGTCACAATAAGATGGCAGCTGTCTATGAGAAAGTGAGCCCTCACTACACACCAAATCTTTTGGCGCTTTGCTTGTAGACTTCCCTGTCTCCAGAACTGTGAAAAATAAATTATGTTTTTATAATCTTTATGTTTTTATAAAGTCTATAGTCTTTCATTAGAGGGGCCAAGAGTCTTGCAGGAAAGAATGCAGAAAACAATCTGGCAAGTTGGAATTCTAACAAGGTAAGGTACATGTTTTACCTTTCTGTATATCAGAGGCAATAATGTGACATCTCAGCCAGCCACAACTCACTGCAGACCAAAATCATCCATATGAGAGTATTTAATGAGATTCTTTTAGACTAAGAATAATCCAGGGTTTGCATGTAGTTTGGTGATGTGACAAGTCCTCATTGACTATTGCCCCTTTTGGGATATGTTCTGTAGTTCTAAAACACTGGCTGGCATCGGGAATGTGGCTAAACTCACCACTAATATTGAAAAAAGACAGCCCTTTCTTACTTTCAGAGAATCTTCCATATCTCATTACTCCGTGAGGTGAAAGACCAGGATTAATACCCATTATTTATCTATGAGCCAAGAAATCTGGAGGATACTAGGAACTTAAAATGCATCAGTCAGTTTAGGTTTAAAGAAAAATTGACCAGACCAGAATGTACAAAGACTCCTTTACTTCCTCACTCCTGCCCTGCCACACACTTTCTCCCATCATTAACATCTTCCATTACTGTATTACATTTGTTACAACTGATAACCCCATACTGATACAGTATGATTAATGAAGGTACCTAGTTTACATTAGAATTCACCATTTGTGTTGTTATTCTATGGGTTTTGGCAAGTGTATACTAACATATATTCACCATTATACTATTATATGGAATATCTTCACTGCCTTAAAAATCCCATGCACCACCTATTCATTGTTCCCTCCCTCTGATCCCCTGGCAACCTCTGATCTTCTTTTTGTCTTCTGTTTTGCCTTTTCCAGAATGTCATAAAATTGAATCATGCAGTAAGTACATATCCTTTTCAGATTGGTTTCTTTCACTTAGAAATATATATATATGTGTGTATATATATGTATATGTATGTATATATATGTATATGTATGTATATATATGTATATATGTATATATGTATGTATATATATGTATATATGTATATATGTATATATATATGTATATATATATACACACATATATTTAAGATATCTCCACATATTCTATTGACTTTATAGTTCATTTCGTTTTATTGCTGATTAGTATCCCATCGTACAGTGTACCCCACTTGGTGTATCCACTCACAGCATTACTGTATTGAAGGACATCTTGTTGGCTTCCAAGTTTTGGCAATTATGTATAAAGATGAGATACTATAAAAATTTGGGTGTAGATTTTCATGTGGACATACGTTTTCAACTCATTTGGATAAATGCCAAGAAGTGCAACTGCTGGATCAAAGAATATGGTTAACTTTGTAATAACCTGCCAAACTGTCTTCCATAGGGGCTATATCAATTTGCATTCCCCCCAGCAATAAATGAGAGTTCCTATTGCTCCACATCTTTGCCAATACTTGGTTTTGTCAGTGTCTTGGATTTTCACCATTCTAATAGGTATATAATGCTATCCCATGGGTTTATTTGCAATTACCTAATGATGTAGGATGCTGTGAATCTTTTCATATAATTTACCATCTATTTATATTCTTCAATGAGGTTCAAATCTTTGCCTATATTTTAGTTGTTTGTTTTCTTATTGTTGAGCTTTAAGAGTTCTTTGTATATTTTTGCAAAAATTTTCTCCCATTCTGCCTGTTCACTGTCATGGTAGTTTCTTTTGCTGTGCAGAAGCTCTTTAGTTTAATTAGATCCCTTTGTCTATTTTGGCTTTTGTTGCCATTGCTTTTGGTGTTTTAATCATGAAGTCCTTGCCCATGCCTATGTCCTGAGTGGTAATGCCTAGGTTTTCTTCTAGGGTTTTTATGGTTTTAGGTCTAACATTTAACTCTTTAATCCATCTTGAATTAATTTTTGTATAAGGTGTAAGGAAGGGATAAGTTTCAGCTTTCTACATATGGCTAGCCAGTTTTCCCAGCACCATTTATTAAATAGGGATTTCTTTCCCCATTTCTTGTTTTTGTCAGGTTTGTCAAAGATCAGATGGTTGTAGATGTGTGATGTTATTTCTGAGGCCTCTGTTCTGTTCCATTGGTCTATATATCCATCTGACAAAGGGCTAATATCCAGAATCTACAAAGAACATAAACAAATTTACAAGAAAAAAACAACTGCATCAAAAAGTGGGCAAAGGATATGAACAGACACTACTCAAAAGAAGACATTTATGCAGCCAACGGACACATGAAAAACTGCTCATCATCACTGGTCATTAGGGAAATGCAAATCAAAACCACAATGAGATACCATCTCGCACCAATTAGAATGGTGATCATTAAAAAGTTAGGAAACAACAGATGCTGGAGAGGATGTGGAGAAATAGGAACACTTTTACACTGTTGGTGGGAGTGTAAACTAGTTCAACCATTGTGGAAGACAGTGTGGTGATTCCTCAAGGATCTAGAACTAGAAATACCATTTGACCCAGCCATCCCATTACTGGGATGTAATGGATTGTAAATCCATTATAATAGATTGGATTTATAGTAGCAGGATTATAAATCATGCTACTATAAAGACACATGCACACATATGTTTATTGTAGCACTATTCACAATAGCAAAGACTTGGAATCGAGCCAAATGTCCATCAATGATAGACTGGATTAAGAAAATGTGCCACATATACAGCATGGAATACTATGCAGCCATAAAAAAGGACGAGTTCATGTCATTTGCAGGAACATGGATGCAGCTGGAAACCATCATTCTGAGCAAACTATCACAAGGACAGAAAACCAAACACCACATGTTCTCACTCATAGGTGGGAATTGAACAATGGGAACACTTGGACACAGGGCAGGGAACATCACACCTCAGGGCCTGTTGTGGAGTGGGGGGCAGGGGGACGGATAGCATTAGGAGAAATACCTAATGTAAATGATGAGTTAATGGGTGCAGCAAACCAACTTGGCACATGTATACCTATGTAACAAACCTGCACGTTGTGCACGTGTAACCTAGAACTTAAAGTATAATAATAATAATGAAAAGTTATTTGTATATTTTGAATACTAGTCATTTATCAGATATATGTTTTGCAACAATTTTCCTTCAGTCCGTAGCTTGCTTTTCATTCTCTTAGAGTGACTTTTAAAAATTTTAATGAAGACTAACTTATTTTTTTCTTTCATAGATTGTGCTTTAGATGTTGTACCAAAAAAGACATAATTGCCAAACCTAAAGTCACCTAGATAACAAAGGAGATGTTTCCCCCTAGAAAGTTTATAGTTTTGTGTTTTACATTTAGGTCTATGATCAATTTTGAGTTAATTTTTGAAATGTGCAAAATTTGTATCTAGATTTTTTTTTTACATGTGGGTGTCCAGTTGTTCCAGTAGCATTCGTTGAAAAAAATTACTATTTTCCCATTGAATTACCTTTGCTCCTTTGTCAAACACCAGTTGACTACATGTGTATGCATCTATTTCTGGGTTCTATATTCTGTTCCATTGATGTATTTGGCTATTATTTCACCAAAACCTTACTCCCTTGATTATTGCAGCTTCATAGCAAATCTTGAAATTGGGCCATATCAGTCCTTCATCTTTGTTCTTCTCCACAACAATGTTGTAATGGCTACTCTGGACCCTTGCCTTTCCATATAAGTTTTAGAATCAGGCTGCTAAAATCCACACAACAATTGAAACCATATGGAAAATAAGAGGTAATAAAATCAGAAATCTAATAAATCTAAAATATTTCCAAATTTAAAAAAACACAAAACAATGTGCTGGAATTTTGATTAGAATTGCATTGAACCTAGAAATCAAATTTGGAAGAATGTATATGTTTATAATATTGAGATTTTTAAAACCATTTTCAAGGAATATCTTCATCTATATGCATTTTTTTCTTGCATCAGAATTTTGTAGCTTTTCTCCTATAGATCTCATACATCTTTAGACATATATCAAAGTATTTCATTTTTATGGGTATTAATGTAATGGTATTGTGTTTTTAATTTCAAATCCCACTTGTTTGTTGCTGATCTATAGGAAAGTAATTGACTATTGTATATTAATCTTGTATCCTGCAACCTTACTATAGTTGCTTACTAGTTCTAGGACGTTTTTGTTTGTTCATTTTGTCTATTTTTCAGATTTTCTACATAGACAATTATGTCATCTGTGAAAAAGTTTTATTTTTTCTCCTCAATGAGTATATCTTTTATTTCTTTTTCTTGTCTTAATGTATTAGATAGGACATTTAATATGATGTTGAAAGGAAATGGTGGGTTGAGGCATTGTTGCCTTATTCCTCATTTTAATTGAAAATCTAGTTTCTCACTATTAAATATAATGTTGTCTGTAGGTGCTTCGTACATGTTCTTTATTAATTTGAGCAAGTTTCCCTCTATTCCTAGCAAACTAGGAATGGAATGAGAGACTGATCATGAATGGATAGTGAATTTTGTTAAATGCTTTTTCTGCATCTAATGCTGTAGTCATATTTTTATTCTTTAGATTGTTGATGCAATAAATTACAGTGATTTTTTTAATGTTGAATCAGCTTTGCATACCTGGATAAATATCACTTGCTCATGGGATATAATTCTTTTTATACTTTTTTTTATTCAATATGCTAATATTTTGTTGAGGTTTTGCATCTGTGTTCATGAGAGATATTAGTCTCTGCTTTTCCTTTCTTGCAACGTATTTGTTTTTTATGACGATAATACATCCACCTAAGCCCCAAGTTGTGGCCATGGGCAGGGTATCCTCTTTTCAGGGTGCTTGTCATGCACTGGTCATCCTGCTGCTGGGTGTGAGGGGGTTGCTGCCAATGGCTCACAATTTGGCCCTGGCAGCAGCAGCCAGCAAAAGTGGCAGCTGTGAGTGGGGAATGTCAACAGCAGGGGGTGTTCCCTGCAGGTCAGGATGCAGTCTGTTCGGAGGCTGGGCTCTCAAAATGGCATCTTGTTGTAGCTGCTTAGGACTCAGTGGTGTATGAGACTCATCATAAGCACTTCTGGAGCAATATTGTCATATGGTCTCCAGGCAGCTTCCTATGTTAGTCTCAGGGACTGTGAAGGTCAAGGGGCTTTCCTGTGGCTAAAATGGCAGGAATTCATGGTGGGAATGTGGACTGCTAGGGATCTCTCACTTACTCTTTCCCTGCAATGGGAGCCTCTCCAGGCTGCCAGCTGATCCTGGCTAAAGATGCCACCTCTCCTTCCTTCCCTTAGGTGTTTTTTGTCACTTCTCTGTTGAATTTCAGTGTTCTCTCTTAGAGGATCTATTTGTGAAGTGTGATTACTTGCTATTTGGGTTCTTCTCTGAGTAGGAGGTGAGTACCAGATGCCTCTAGTCAGTCATCTTGAAGAAACTGGACATGATGTACTGGGGGAAAAAAATGGAAGTAAATACACCTTTAAGTGTGAGGTCTTGCATTTTTGTGGCTAGGAATTCGGCTGTGTTACTGTTTGCTACAGCTGTATGGGTCAGAAGCTAAAATTTCTTCTGGTATCCTTTTTCTTGTTTCCTCTGTCGTCTTTGGGTTTCCCTAAAGACTTCTCCTTGAATAAGATCTGAGATGTGCAGTTCATTCAGGTGCATTCCTCTGTTATTTATACAGGAGTCCTATTGATGTGGTGATAAGTTTGGGGGAAAGGAAGCATTCTAAGGTCCTGTTACTATGTCTTACTCCTTTTTTAAGCCTCTAACTCTGGGCTATGGCCTTCAAAAGTACTCTTCAGTCTCTCCCCACCCCTTAAATGAGGCAGTAATGCTAGAATAGGTTAGACTTGTGTATTTCTCTTCCCCTATGATGGAAGCTGGAGTGAGCTGCAGTTTAGTTTTTCTTTCTCTTTGGTTGGTTAGACTAGTAAACTCCATTTGGGGTTAGACTCAGGAAAAATACTTTCCTTTAAGGGAAGTTCATGTTAAAAAGAGCAGAATGTCTGAGCATATTTCAGATGGCTACTTTTCCCTTCCTCATGCCAGAAGCACACAGGAGGTTTTTTTTGTTCTTTTTTGTGAAAACCTGGTAGATTCCTGGAGGGAAGACTCACAAAAGTATGAGGGTCTCACTAAGACGGGGCTCCTGTGGATTTTTTTGTAGCTCTCAAGCTTATCCACAGTAAGCCTCAAGCCTATTCCTCAATTATAGTTAATTGTTTCTATCTCTGTACTGGCTCAAGTGATGCAGTCTGCTCCTAAGCTTCTGTCCCAGTAAGCTGTGATTCTCTGTATTCACCTCTCTTTCTCTATAGTTTGGGAAGAAACAGTTTGCCCACTGACCTCTTTGATGGTGCTAAAAGGAGTTAGTCATTATTTTCACTCCGGGCTTTTTTGTTGTGAGAATGGTAGTGATAGCTCTGAGCTCTTTACATTCCGGACTTGAAGTCCTGAACAGTTTTTAATTTAACTATGGAGGGAAGCTGTACCTCCAGCAGGGACTTTATGCAAAGAGAAGCTAGTTTCAGCCAGGGTTCTATAGTTGAGCCCATGGTGAGTGCAACTTTATAATTTTCAGAAATCAGTTATTAAGAAAGATAGATTTCAGCATGCATTAAAGACCAAATGCTGAACAACTGAGGCTTACACAAAGCATCAGAAGTTCATATTCTGAAACCAGGTGAAGAATGGGATAGGGATCAAAGTCTGAGCTTTGTCAGGTCCTGTATATCTCAGTGGTGGCACTAAATTTGGAGTTATCCTGGGGTTAAACCAAAAGGAAATCATTACCAAGTCATCCTTGGGTAGAGAAAATGTATAGAAAATATTCCAAGACATAAAATTAAAATATTTTAGTGCCTATAAAGTTGTCCAACCATATATTGACCTAGGAGAGCAGAAGAATAAACTGTTAGTTAGGAAAGGAATGGCCAGAGTCAATATGAGTAGAGAAGTATGCTAGAGTGGTTCTACAAATAATTCTGTAAACATCGCCTGTCTCCCTCAGTACCCTCTCATGTACTGCTCAGTCTGTTTCAAAGGATCTTGGTTATAGCCACTAAAGAACAAGTGGCAGTGTCCTCTGTCACATTTCAAGAGAAATCTGAAAGGCTGCTCACCCTCCCACTTCAAAACACACTTCTCATTTGTAATACAGTCTGAAATTCTACCTGTAGAAAGTTCTTAAGGTTTCCTCTTACTGTGACACTCTTTAAAACATGAATACTTCTGAGAGGACAAAAACATTTATTTTCACAATATTTCTATCATGTATCAAAACACTCTTCATAAGAGGAACTAGATTAGGAAAACTGGGTACTTGGAGAGGGAGAGGAAGACAAGGAAAAAAGAGTATTGAAAGCTGCTGATGCCTTACAACTCAGGAAACTTGGATAACAATTTGATTTATTTTAAATTTTACATATGGGTGAAAATGTAGGTATATATGGACACATTATCCAAAAGTGATCTCATCAATCTCAGAATATCATATCATTTTATTTGAACGTGTTATACAATAAATAGGATAGTTGTCCTCTATTGTCCACGAAGGATATGTTCCAAGATCCCCCATGGTTACCTGCAGCCATGGAAGGTGAATCCAAGTTCCTTTTTTGATAAGATGGGGGGGGTACTTTACTTGCAAATATCTATTGCATATTATACCTATGTTTTGTTAGCCATAGTAGATCTTAAACTTTTAGAGTTCAAAAGTTGTATCTCATAGATTATGATTGAAGGAAAAAAATTCATCAGTCACTTACACACTTATTTAGGCTTTTTTTATATGCAAGATGTATAAGGTGCTAGATCAGATATATGAAAGTAACCATTAATACTTCATGGTAACGATTCATTTGTAGATGACTGCTGTAGGAGCTAAACCCTTTCATATACAGAAGATTTAAAGAAACTAAGTACAGAACCACAACTAAAAGGAAATAGGCTCAAGGACCATATGTGCACCATAAAACTGGAAAATTCCCTTAGCAGTTCTTATAGTCCCTGTTAGGTACTTACTCAAAGGCAGATTCAGGACAAGAGGGAAATAGTAAAAGAGCCTCAATACCGCACAACAGTTTGCTAAATTTCACCAGGTCTCTTGCTGATAATGAATCTCATATGTATTACTTTGTAAGTGGAGTTGACTGAAATTAGAGAATGGATAAGCAAAAACACTCCGTGGCTCTTGGAACTTTGGAGATTCAAAAGCAATTCACTTGCTAATGTGTTGCTGATTTGTAAGAAAAATAGCATCTCATTTTTCTTTATCAATTTAGTTTTAACCAGCCAGGTGCGGTGGCTCACACCTGTAATCCCAGCACTTTGGGAGGCCGAGGCGGGCGGATCACGAGGTCAGGAGATCGAGACCATCCTGGCTAACAAGGTGAAACCCTGTCTCCACTAAAAATACAAAAAATTAGCCGGGCGTGGTGGCGGGCACCTGTAGTCCCAGCTACTCCGGAGGCTGAGGCAGGAGAATGGCGTGAACCCAGGAGGTAGAGCTAGCAGTGAGCCAAGATTGCACCACTGCACTCCAGCCTGGGCGACAGAGCGAGACTCCATCTCAAAAAAAAAAAAAAAATTAGTTTTAACCAAACACAGGGCAATAAATTGAGCACCCCATAAGGTTTAATACCTGCCCCATATGCCAGTATTAAAGTGGTATCCTTGCAGTTTTGTGTTTGTAAACATAGTTATATGAGAAAACATTGCCTTTAATTTAAGTAAACAATTATGATGTTGACACAGTTGTCATTATAACACCAGAAAACATAATATGGTTCACTGTGTGTCTCTTCTCTTCTGTCTCTCTCCCAACAACATTGAGGTTTATTGTATAAAAATATGATTATAATAGATAGACCTAAATCTGTCAGTACTCAGAGACTTAGATTTGTGACACAGTAACATGTTTGCATTGGCTTCTAACACACAGTAAAAGTAAATTGTATATGATAGGTAGGTAGGTAGATATGTTGGTAGATAGATACATAGATGATGGCTAGGTAGTTAGCTTAATTTATAGATGATGATCATGATGAAAATAGATGATAAAGATAGATAGATAGAAGATAGATAGATAGATAGATAGATAGATAGATAGACAGACAAAAGCAAAGCAAGTACCTCTATCTCTACCCCACAATAGCAATATCTTTGGACAACAATATACTACTATCTCCTTTACATGAATGAGAACCAAATGAAGAGAGAAAATATCTTGCGCTGGCTCATTTTTAACTCAGGTCTTTGGTTCTCACAATATTAACTAACATTACCATTCCCATTACCATAACATAGCACTATCACTTCACTGTCTTCTAAATTTGCCTGAAGAAAAAAAATCTTGGTTATTGTTAAAAGCATAAATTCTGCTCATCAAACAGAATTGGCCAAATCAGACTTTCTCAGGGTAAATATTTTATAATCTGCATGTTTGACAGAAACCTCAGGCGATTCTTATTATTAGGAAAGATTGGGAAATAATGATTAATTGTTTCATTTTATTTGAAATGTATCTGAGCAACCATCTGAAGTAGGAGTTATGAGATAGATGATATCCCAATTATTACAAATGAGAAAATTGACACTCAGAGACATTTAATACCTTGGTGAAAGTCACACAGCTAAAAAGTGGCAGAGCTAGATCTGAAACCCACATATTCTAGCTCAATTTTTTTTTTTTTTGGAAACAGGGTCTCACTTTATCAATGCAGGCTGGAGTACAGTGGCACAATTTCGACTCACTGCCGCCTCAACCTCCTGGGCTCAAATGATCCTCCCACCTCATCCACCCGAGTAGCTGGGACTACAGGCATGCACCACCACACCTGGCTAATTTTTGTATTTTTGTAGAGAGGGGTCTCACCATGTAGCCCAGGCTGGTCTCGAACTTCTGAGCTCAAGCAATGTGCCTGCCTCAGCCTCCCAAAGTGCTGGCATTACAGGCATGAGCCACCACACCCAGCCCCTGGCTCCATTTTTTTTTAATACTTCTCCACCAAATGCTGAACCACTTGCTACACTGCTAATCACATGGAAGCTACTCAAGGTAAAGGCTCTGGAAAAAATTGCAAAGTAAAACATAACCTTCTCTCATCACTCACTGAGGGTCTGTACTATCCACTGGTTCTCCTATTCCTTGCACAGAAGATTCCTGGAAACCTCTGACAAGCTGAAGCTTTCCATTACAATCTCCTACTAGGACGACTCTTGTTTCCCCTTGAAGGGCCCAGGCTCCAATGTTATCTTCCCTTGTCCAGCCTCCTCTTTCCTCTGTACTCATTCTTCCAGGCAGAGGCTGAAATGTAAGATGCAAAAATCACTGAGTATTTTATGAACTAAAACTAGAAAACTGGACTCTCTCTGTGGCCTGAGGCAAAACATTCTTTGTGTTGCCCATGTGAATTACTTAATCTGATCAGAGACTCTACAGCTACAAGAATTTAGAAGTCAGACCCCTTATTTTAGAAGAAAGGAAACTAAAATGCTGAAAGGTAATTTAGTAATTCAAATGGAACTGTAAACCTAAAATGTGTAAGGTAATATGTATGAGCATATATTGTCTTTCTTTGTCCCTTTTATAAGTTGAGCCCTCCTTTTCCTAACCCACGCTGACCACAAAATAGCTCTTTCTCTTTTGATACCACTTCTCCAGGCCAAAGTTTTCCCTGAATACTTTATATACATTATTTCACTGAACTTCAAAGCAACCTTTCAAACAAAATGATTTACATGTTAGAAACCTGTTACTTTTTGCAAAAACAAGAATAGGATCAAGACAAGATTCACATTTAGATATTTTTAAATTCCAAAACATGCCCCTCCTCCCCTTCTCAAATAGTGGTCACTTCTCAATCTCCACTTTTCTTATTTTTTAATAAATTTTATTGTTTCTATTTAAGGTATGCAACATGTTACAGGATACATATAGATAGTAAAAAGGTTAGTAGAGTGAAGCAAATTAACATATCCATCATCTCACACAGTTATTCATTATTTTTTGTTTTTGTGGCAAAAGCAGCTAAAATCTACTCATTTAGCATGAATCTCACATATAGTACAATTTTATTACCTATAGTGCCCATGTTGTACATTAGATCTCTAGACTTGTTCATCATGCACATTTGCTGCTTTGTATCCTCTGACATAAACCTCCCCATTTACTCTCCAACCATCACCCCAGTAATCATTGTTTTATTCTCTGTCTCTGTATATTTGACTTTTTTAAAGATTCATCATATAAGCGGTATCATGTAGTATTTGTTATTCTGTGTCTGACTTGTTTCACTTAGCAAAATGTCCTCCAGGATCATCCATGTTGTGACAGATGGCAGGATCCCATTCTTTTTTAGAGCCGTATAATATTCCATTGTATATACGTACCACAGTTTCTTTTTCCATTCATCCATTGATGAACACTTAGGTTATTTTCACTTTTCAAAATGCGAAGTGCTTCTAAAAATAGTTAAAATAAGTATATGCTAGAAAACAATGCTCTTGTGCACAAAGCTAAATAATAATTAATAGTAAAGGTAATAGATAAAGGGTAACAGATTCATGATGCAAAGAAGGATCAGTGGGCCAGAACTATTAACCAAAATCAACCAAATGAAATGTTAACCTACCACACATGTCTAAATTTAGGTATAGAGCAGATACACAGATACTGGATAAAAAATGCTAATGGGCCAGGTGCAGTGGCTCATGCCTATAATCCCAGCACTTTGAGAGGCCAAGACAGAAGGACTGCTTGAGTCCAGAAGTTAGAGACCAGATTGGGCAACATAGTGAGACCCCATTTCTATAAAAAATAAAAAGAAATTAGCCAGGTGTGATGGTGTGCCACTGTAGTCCCAGCTACTGAGGAAGCTGAGGTGAGAGGATAGCTTGAGGCCAAGAGTTAGAGGTTCAGTGAACCATAAACACACCACTGTACTCCAGCCTGAGTGAAAGAGCCAGATGCTATCTCAAAAACAAAACAAAAACATCCTAATGTGATTGTTCAGCTGTCAAAAAGTATTAAATTCATTGTTTTTCAGGTGCTTTTTTAGGCCCTGGAAATACAGCACATAATATTTCAGAAACTTATGTTTCAGTATGCAAGTGAGGGATGTGATGAACACATAAAGCAAATAAGAAAAACCTAAGAATGCTAATTTCAGGAACTGATTAGGTCAATAAAAAGGATAAAATAAGGTAATGTAATAACAAGCGACTGAGAGGTCTCCTTTAGCTATAGTGACCACAGAAGGCCTTTGGTAAGAAGGTTCTATTTACATTAAATCCTGAATAAGAAGCAGGCAGCTATGCAAACATGTAGAAGGAAGAAAATGATTCAATCAGAAGAAACAGTAAGTGCAAAGCATTTGCGATGGAAAAGACCTTGGTATGTTCAAGGTCCAGAAAGAATGCCAAAGTGATGTTGTCTCTTGAACAACTGAGAGAAGGAATATAGATAAATGGAAGCCAGATCACATAAGGCCTTGTAGGTTACAGTAAGATTTCATTCTAGATGTAATATAAGGCCATTGCAGAGTTTGACATTGAATAAGGACATGCGTTTGAAAATATCACCAAGGCTGCTTTGTGGAGAATAATCTATAGGATGATGAGAGTGGATGCAGAGAGATATGAGGGGAGGTTCTTGCTAGAGTTCCATAAGGAATGATGGCTTTGAGGAGTATTGTAGAGCAATAGAGATAGTGAGAACTGGTTGAATTTTGTTATATTTTGTCAGAAGAGGTGGCAGAACTTACCTAATAGATTGAGACTAGATTATGAAAGAAAAATAAGAATCAAGAATTATTAACACCTAGATTTGTAGCCTGAGCATCTAAGTGGTAATGGCATTACCATTTCTTGAGGTAATGGGATTGCTTTGAAATAAGTTGGAAAACAACAATTGATGGTTCTTCTTTGGCCATGTTCAATTTGAGATATCTAATAAATATATATATATATTTTTTTTGAGACAGAGTCTCACTGTGTCACCCAGGCTGGAGTGCAGTGATGCAATCATGGCTTAATCCCCTGGGCTCAAGCAATCCTCCCACCTCAGCCTCCTGAGCAGCTGGGCCAATAGGTGTGTGCCACCATACCCGGCTAATTTTTTTTTTCCTTTTTCTCTTTCTTTTCTTTTCCCTCTTTTTTTTTTTTTTTTTTTTTTTTTTGAGAGACAGAATCTCACTTTGCTGCCCATGGTGGTCTCAAACTCCTAGGCTCAAATGATCCTCCTGCCTCAGGCTCCCAATACAGGCATGAGCTACTAGGCCTGCCCCCTATTAAATATTCTAGTAGTGATTATTTGGCTATGTTAGCTGGTTATGTTAGACTTGCATGCTGGGGAAATATTCAGATGGAGTTATCTTAAAAGTTCAACAAAATACAAATATTATTAACATGGAACTGTGAAAGAAAATTTTAAAAACCACAGTTAGTGAAGTAAGAACGAAACCAGGAGGCCAAGGTGTCCTGGAAGAAAAAGAAAAATATATTTCAAGATGGATAGAATCATCAATTACATTAAATACTGTAGATGGCTCTTGCAAGGTGATGGAGAACTATTAGCTATAGGAAGATGTAGATTAACAGTGAGCTTGTTAAGAACTATTTACATACAGTTATGGGGTCCAAAGTCTAATTGGAATGGTTGGAAAATAAAATGCAAGGTGGAGTATATGGAGACTACAAATATAAGAAACTACTTTCATGATTTTTCTTCCATGAAAAGGATCAGAGAAATAGGACTCTAACTGCAAGGTTATATGAGGGCAAGAAAAAATATTTTTAAAGATATTTTGAAAGAACCAGGAAAGAGTGGAAATGTGGTGATTCAGGACAGAAAGTGTTTAATTGCAGAAATTAAATTCTTAAGATAGTAATAGTGGATTAAATTTGTGGCAAAAGCTAACTTGGCCTTAAGTAGGAACATCATTTTTACTATAATGAAAGAAACTACAATAAGGGAAACTATAATAAGGGAAGTGATACAGTAGGGTAGTCAAATTTTTGGTGCAGTTGAAGTAATTATCTTCTAATTCTATTTATTGTATGCAAGGTCATCAGCTCAGACATTATGTGGCTGTGGATACTAAAGATCTGACAAAAAGGCATAAAATTGTTACTTCAGAAAGTGACTAAGTGAATTTAATAGGAACGTTTAGCAGAACTGTCTCATTGTGGAGACTGCTTTTGATACAGTGGACATAAATGTAAAGTAAGTCCGAGCAGTGACTCTTCTCTAAATTTTGAGATACTTGTTAATAAATACAAAATAAAATGGTAGTGAGCTTAATCAAGCTTCTGGATAGTCCAGGTGAATAGAATTTCAGGAGAGAGAGAATAGAGAATTCACAAGGTCTGCAAGGGATCACATAGCTGGACTACATATTCAGGTGTTCTCCTGAGAGTTATGACTGGGACTGATTAACCAATAGTGAAAAGGTATTAAGACAAATGGAATACAAATTTTCATGCGTTTTGAGGATGGTTGGAATAAAAATATTGAACTAAGTAAGCTGAAAGAAGAAAAGTTGATAAAGATTGAAATATTTGAAACTAACATTTTGGGAGTAGTATAGTTATAGGTAACGACAAGATCATTCCTGGATGGTCAAGAGAGATAGGAGGAAAATGTTGGAAACAACTATTTAAAGGTTCTAAGAATGTAGGAGGTGTATGTATCATCAATATGCATGAGGAAATCTTAAAAAAGTCATACCTGTGGAAAGAGAGACAAGAGCTAGGTATCTTATGAGAGGAGGAGGTAAAAGTGTCTATAGATGGCAGTAATGGAAGTGGGAGCTAAAAAAGTCTGATGGTTGAACCTGACAAAAAGCTAGTGTTTTAAAGGAGAAGGGAAAGAAATGGTTCTGAAGTGGGCATACAGAATAGAAAAGACACTTGAGTTATAGGAAGTGTAGAAGAAAAAACAGTCTCCATTCAAGGGGTTATAGAGATGTATTTTCAGTGCAGCCACATTTTAGTTAAGCAAGAACATAAAGTGATCATTCAAAGAAGGGGTTGAGAACAGAATGGAGTATGCTTGTGACAGTGATTCCAAAAAGTACTGAAGGATTTGAAAAAGGTGGAGGGTTGGGTGTTAAGATCTGATCAGTAAATGTAAACAATTGTAGGGAGATAATCATTTGTATTATGCTTTATGGTATTGAAACTTGGATTTCTGTTAATATCCAAGGGTAGAAGCCCAGTGGATTAATTCTAGAAATCAGAAAAGGGATTGAATAACCTAAAGCGGCTGTTCATGGCCCTTGGGGAAGTGTCAACGCAGCAAAACATGGAATCACTAGAGACTGAGATTCAGTTTTGCCCCTGAGTAAAGAAGCTGACTTGCAAAAGCACACAGGTGATTGGATGACACAATTTCAGTTGAGAAATATATGAAGGATGTGAAGGTTCTGACTATCAGATCAATAAAAGCTGAAAACATGACTCCACTAAAGAAGACAAACAATGTATTCTTTGATTGTGTCAATAAAAATTCACTGCCCTGCCAAAGTGAATATACCCACTGGCTGATGTAATGTATCCAGGACACCAAGGATAATTCTGGGCTTTATTCTTAAAGAATAACATCGGTAAGTGAGAGTCAATCTCCAGATCCCTAACATGCAGTGGAAATCAGGAAGTTGTCAGGACATGTAGAATGAGAAACAGGTTGTCAGTGCCTTGAACAAGCCATGTATTGATAAGTAGAAAATACTACTTCCATAGATATAGGTGTCTGGACCCTTCAGGATATCTTAGGACCCTTTAAGCATATAAAGGACGAATTCCTCGGGAAATCTGATCTCTCCTTTTACAATGATCTTAATAAAAATGTAACCTGTGGGCCTTATGTTTCAGAATAATCTAGGAAGATTATTAAAAAGCGTATGCTCCTATGCTCCTGGGTCCTTTGTCAAACCCATCCAACCACACCGAGAATGGATCCAGAAATCTGTATGTTTTAACGTGCACAGGGAATCTCAGATCATTAATGTACTAATAGGAGGCATTTGACAGGTGGTCAGTTTGGTACCCTGTGCCATGTTGGAAAGAGCTAGGCTTATCTTGGCTCACTGAAATATCCCAGGGCCCAAATCATGCCTGGCACATAGTGAGTACTCAAATATTTGGTGAATTAATGACTGAAGAAATGAATGATCTCTCTAATCTAGATTTAAGCCCTCTATCCTCTCAACTACAACTCAGGATATTGCTATCAATTAAACACCTCTGTTTCTCAGCCTTTACCCAGACACCTCCTCACCAAATTTACCTGTTCCAAAGTCTTTCCATGATTGAGCTCCTGCCGATTTAATCTTCTTCTAATTCACTCTTACCTTTAAATTCTGACCCTCGTATTATAAGCTAACTAATAAGTAAGGGTGAACCTTTTCATTCAATTATCAACTTTGATGCTTGGTTAGGACAGTCTCACCTGGCCTGAGAAGTCCTCAGAGCTTCAATCAAGCCCATCATGGTTAAACATGGCCATGTCAATACCACTTCTGGCAGAGCTAGAAATATGATTTGCCAACGCTTAATGTGGTCATTCATTTCAAATAGTTGAAGAACAAGCCCACGAAAAAGAAAATAGAGTTATTCTGTGTTTTTCTAAGAGAGATTTAAGATTAGCAGGAATAAGTTATAGAAAGAAGATTTTGATCCAAAATAAATAACAGTCTAAAATTAATCTTTCTATTTTGACATCAATTGCCTAAAAGTAGCCAGCTCCCTTTTACTAAGATAATTCAAACCAAAGCAAAATAATTTATCTGGAATAGAATCATAAAACTTGAAAGAATTTTAGATACCAATTCAATATACTATTCCAACCTCCATTCTATAAGTGAAATCTAAGGTCCAGAAAAATTGAGACATATCTAAATGCATATAGCTTATTAAAACCAGGCCAGGCGCACTTATAATCCCAGCATTTTGGGAGGCCAAAGCAGGTGGATCACCTGCGGTCAGAGGTTCAAAACTAGTCCGGCCAACGTGGCAAAACTGTGTCTCCACTAAAAACAGAAAATTAGTCAGGTGTGGTGGCGCATGCCTGTAATCCCAGCTACTTGGGAGGCTGAGGCAGGAGAATTGCTTGAACTTGGGAGGCAGAGGTTGCAGTGAGTCAAGATTGCGCCCTGCACTCCAGCCTGGGCAACAAGAGTGAAACTACATCTTAAAATAAAATAAAATAAAGCCAGTGGTAGGAACATAGCCTGGCCTGAGGGCTTTGTCCGTATATCTACTCAAATTGTAGAAGCAATACCTTCTTTGATTTATATGACTCCAAATGTCTTGTCTAAATTCTAGGACTTAGGACTCAGTATTTTGAACTCATCTTTTTTCCTTTTTTTTTGCTTATATCCAGAATTTTATAGTGAATTAATTTTTCATGGAAATGAAGTGAATCATGACTCTTGATTTGCATATTTGCAAACTGAAGAAAAAAATCAAAAACAAATCTGCCTGAAAACTGTGTGACAACCTGTTATTTACTGACAAAAAAGTATCTCCCTTTCTCTCTTTTTTTTAAGATGAAATAAATTAAATGGCATCCACTGTCTTGTGGTGTGTAACATGATCCTCCCCTTG
Source organism: Homo sapiens (assembly GCF_000001405.40). Lineage (NCBI taxonomy): Eukaryota > Metazoa > Chordata > Mammalia > Primates > Hominidae > Homo > Homo sapiens. The sequence continues at coordinate 34,373,324 of NC_000008.11, read as the reverse complement.
GGCTTGAAAATACAACTTTTCCAATGGTAGAAAAAGGAAATAACATTTATGGAATGTCTGCTTGCTAGGTGCTTCATATATGTAATCACATCTAATTTCATTTAATCCACACAATATCTCTGTGAAATGGTTATTATAGCCATTTTACAGATGAGGAAATTGGATCTTAAAACGGTTTAGTGCCACCCTCAAAGCATTGTAATTAGTATATGGTAGAACAAGATGTGAAATTAGATCTCAGGGGACCAACGGTTCTGATTAGCCCAGGACTGAGCAGTTTCCTAGGACATGAGACTTTCAGTGTTAAACTTGGAAAAGCCAGGCAAATTGAGATAATTGCTCACCTTGGTTAGTCCTAAATCCTGGGAAAAGTGAAGAAAGTTCTCTCCTAACATCACCAAATGCCAGTGACCCAATTTTTTTTGGTGGGGGGAGGTAAGGGTGTAGTTTTGATATGACATGTTAAGACATACAGATTTCTGGATCCATTCTCTGTGATTTTGATTGAACAGGTCTGGCATGAGACTCCAGAACACATACTGTTAATATCTTCCTAAATTATTCTGACACACACAGCTCATAGGTCACGTTTTTAGAAAGCTTTTTTAAGAAAGAGAGACTTCCCAAGGAGTCTTTCTTGTATACTCTTACAGGGTCCTACTACATCCAGAGGAGCCTAGCACCTGTATCTGCTAGCATCATTAGTAATATCTGATTTAAAGACAATCATCATTCTGGAGGCCTCTGTTCACATGTGTTTGGCAGGAAGCAGATAACTAGTCTTTTCCTTAAGAGAAGATCCAAAGCCATTTTACAGCCTTTGTAGCCAAAGACCATGACTTAGGGACACCAGATAAGCACTGTCACCATTACTCAGGCATTGGAATGATCTCATCAACCCAGTAGTTCTCAAACTCCAGGTTTATAAGAAGCACATGGGGATCAGTACAACATGGACATTCTTGTACTCTATATTCTAAGAGTCTGATTTAACTGCACAGAAGTAAAATTCAGGAATACTCAATTTACACATTCTTTTCTCCCCGCCAGGTGATTGGCTATCTTCTTGATTCTTTATCTGTGTTACGGATTCATAAACTTACATTCATTCTTTGCTTATTGTGGACCCAACACAATATTAAATCCTGGCTCATGGAGGGAGATTTGGAAAATACTAAAATGTATTAAATGAATCATAAACTTTTAAAATAATTTTTAACTTAGGGGGCAACATATTCGATCATACTCCTGCCTTTTGTTTATTTTTCTTTTTTGGTGACAAAATACCCAATTTGAAACTGTTCCAAAATAAAAGCATCTGCATGGGAAAAAATAAGTACATTAGATATTTTACTGATTTCTTCTCTTTGTCATTCATATTTCAGTGCTAATTTTCTAAAGTCTTTTACGCAGAACAGTTTTAAATTCCATACAAGGCAAATTGGGCAAATTCCATTTCAGAATTGCAGTTGTGTTGACACACGGTAATCTTATTAGCAATAAAAGGATATTACCTATAATTGAATAGCCCTGCAATTAGCAAATTTCAGAGCCGGGGAACACCATCATTCTTCCGTTTTACATTTGTTTTTACCCACAGCAGGAAATGTTTGAATTATCAACAAAACTATTAGCATGTTCTTGCTCTACTAAATGAAAAAATAATAAAAAACTGTTTCACTCAGAATAAATATTAACTACAGTTCATGCAGATAAGCTTAATTTAGCAATTAGGACTGTGTTGCACTCTTACTCTGACAAACAAAGTCTGCATTTATTTTACACAACATAACATCTATGTCACCCCAAAATCTAATCGGGCGCAATTCTGTGTTGGCAATACAGACCCAGCTTCCATTTATTTAAACAAATATATCTGTGTGAAAAATAATTATTCATCTGGGCAAGTTATATTTGGTGTTTTCATGACAACTGTATAATTGGGTCATTCTAACGTTATAATGCAGGTACACACACACACACACACACATATGCACACGCATAATTTCTTTTAAAATGGATTTAGGTACATTCTAAGGCTCAACATCACCCATGGAACAAATTACATTAAAATTACAATTAACTTCCGCTCAACTGTCAGCAGAAATCGATGTTGCTGTGTACATATTGCCTCTTCCTCACTTTTATTAAGCCTCTTTCAGTTATGAGGGAACATAAATTAGGAGGATGTTGCTATGTCATCTACAGTATTAAAATGTACGAGGAACATTGACCCTAGCCTCTAGAGATTATGTGAAAAGCCATTTATATGCACAGCTGTACAAATTGCCTGAGTTTAATGCTAAATTCCGTGGAAAATCATCTTTGCTGCTCTGCATCTGAGGAAGGACGAGGTTTAAATATTTAATGTGTTCCCTTACCAGACAAGCCCAGTCAGCAGTGAATTAGTGAACCGGTCAGTACAGAGAGCTCTTTTTGGGAGTGACAGGCTTTTGCCTTTAAATGCAGGAAATGTCCTGAGTTCACACTTAGCTGAAAACAGTAGCCAAGAGAAAAGCAAACTGGGTTCATGCACATTGCCTTCGCTAATGCTGTCTTCCATCACATGATTTTCAGACTGATTCTGAGGATTCTGTCTCTAGCCTGTTCTTCAGCATTGGTCACAACAGTGTCCCTTTCCTCCTTTCATGTATCAGACATTTCTTCATAGATATGGACTGATCTGGAAAACATGTTTCGGGAATATTACTGAAAGAGCATCACCATTTCATGTTGTATGTGTGTGGTGGTGGGGAGGGGAGCAAACTCAACCTGTTCACTGATGGAAGCCTTATGTCAGAGTGTGGCTGTGAGGGTAATTGCCATCGTTCAAATCCCACGTGATCATGTACCAGCTGACTCTGTCAATTTACTTATCTTCATATAACTCGGCTTTCTTATCTGTAACAATTAAGAAAAATTATTTTTATTTTCAAAAAATGAAGATTGTAACATTTCCACAGGAATTTTTTAGGGAAAGAGACTTAGCAAGTGAAATATGTTATTTATTTTTAAAGTTAGCGATTTTCCAAAGTGACTATAACTTGAGTTGTGACTTATTTTTAAAATAGCACACGTAATCTTCTTTACAGAGAGCAGAAAGCTGTCTCCTCATTACCTTACCTTACTCAGGTATCTTACTGTATCTTTTGCCTTATTGAGACTGTCAAGAGACAGAATTAGTTGCCCAAGAGCTAATGAGATTCTTGTCATAGATGATGTTCAAACGGAAGCTGGTAGCAATGTTGTAGAGAGCATTCAAGCTTTGAAAGTACAGTTACATCAAGACAACTCTGGACTGGAAGGTTAGAGGAGACAAAAATGGCAGTGGAGTGGGGAGTGTGAAAGTCCAAGTCAGGTATCAGAATCACTAGGGAATACTTTCAAAATGTTCATCTTGAGGGATAAGGAGAAGGGTAAAGGAGTTAGAAATTTCTCCTAAACTAGCCGTCTTCCCCAACCCTGTTTTGAAAATTACTAGATCAATGGTACCCAAACATGGCTGAACACTTGAATCATTCAGGTTGAATGACATCTTGAGTCAGAACTGGAGATATTTGTCTAGATTGAAGAGTCTCAGCCCTGCACACATTAGAGTCAGCTGGAGAAGGGGCTTTCAAAAACACTGATGGTTAGGCCTCCCCCAAGATTAGTATATCAAGATGCATCTCCCAAAATGTAAACACAAAGAGAATAGTAATAATAATATCAGTTCTCACTAGTCTACTGAATAAGTTCATTCAGCTCTAAACAGCCACAGTGGCAGTGATTTGAGAAGTTTAATTAATTTGAGTAAGTTTACATGGCAGATTAAAGGCCAAGGTAGGAATGAAGTCCAGTTCTTCAAACTCTTGAATTAGTTCTGTTTTTACTTTATCATCATCAGATAGTTTTCCAGGTTCTTTGGTGCCCAATCCTGTTTGCACTAAAAGACCATGCCCCTTCTGTTAAAAGCATTCCACAACAAAGATTAGCCATCAGTAATAGCTTTAAGCCAACTTTTAACTTCTAATACCTTCAGACCTGAGACTCTTTAGGTTTGCTTTTGTTGACAAATTGTAGTTGTGAAGGACTGGTGACTAGTTGGAGTTTAGTGAATCTCTCATAAGCTACAATGCTTTGATTGCCCTTATAGTAATTTCATATTCAATAATTCTTAATGCAAAGAAAATCAACTTACCTGTTGTTTTTTTTTTTAAAAAAAGAGACAACATGGCCGCTAACTCAAAAACAAACAAATCAGATTTCTTTTTTTAAAATAAAAAGGGTAATGAGAATTGTTTATATTTCATTTTTTAAAATAATTTCAGATTTTATTTTAGATTTAGGGGTACATGTGCATGTTTGTTTCATGGGTATGTTGTGTGATACAGAATTTTAATATCTAGAGTGCTAAAATTGAGTTTGATATTTCTAAATTTCTTGCATCGACAATTAAAGTGGTTGTCATGCTGAAAAATATATCCAACTTTCACTTTTAGGAAGATGGCATAGGCATACTTTTCCTCATTCCTCCCACTAAAATCTTTGTTTTTAGATAAAACAAACAGAGAAGACTCTGAAAGATAAGGTAGAGAAGGAAGACTGGCTAGGGACTCAAGGCCTGAAAAGTGACTCCATGGTAAATTATCTGGACTTTTTTTTTGTCTCACATATCCCAACTTGAAGGTAAAGAAGTCAGCAACCAGGAAACATCAAAAGGCACAGATCAAAAGAGACATGCACAAAAGCCTAATCTCTCTAGCCAAAGGCACAGAAAAGGGCAGCCCAGCAAGACAATAAACTGCTCTACTCTAGCCAAACAGCACAGAATACAAAACTGTAGCCCTGCTTACACCCACACCAGGAAAGGTCAAATGGGAAGTATAGAATTTCACCTTCACCAAACTATAATGACACACTCCAAATGTTGCCCCTGCCTTGTTGTGGGATTGTGTCAGAAAAGTAAAATAGACATCTGAGACCTTGATCCTTGCTAGACTGTAACAAGGGCTACCACTGCAATGCCAGTGGAGACCCCTCAGGGAGCCTGAACTTCTTCCTTCATGTGGTAGCAACAAGATGACCCTAATCTCTCTTCTCAGGTGTCTCGTGGAGACAGAGTCTCACCAATCCTAGTGGTCAGGAGACCATTCCTCCCCATGATCTCAATGGAGGCCATGTGAGGAGCAGTAGTTATGTGCTTACACCCTCAGAAAGCAACCAGTGGAGGGTTAGAAGAGAGCCAGGACACTCAGTGAAGAGAAGTACCTCCTCAAGTGTCAACAGAGGCTGATTGGCAGACATAGAACTCTACCTCTACGTGGAGGTGAACTTCCCTTTCCTCTGGTAGAGCAACAGCAGAGGAAGCCAGATAAAACAGAAGCTTTAAAGAAGATTCGAGTCTCATAACACAACAACAGCAACAAAATGTCCAGATTTCAACTAAAAATAACTCATCATGCCAAGAACCAGGAGTATCTCAAACTGATGAAAATAATAATAATAATAATAATAATAATAATAATAATAATAATGCCATATTAGATTTCTAGGGCTGCCATAACAAATACCAAAGACCTTCAAAACTTTCTCCTCTGTGTAAGCAATGAAAACACTGGTAAACTAAATCAACATTTTTAGAACTCTGGAAAGCAACCAATAGCTTACAATAACAGTGAAAATCAGCAGCTTGCCAGTCACTGAAAGGGGCAGAACTGGGTTGGGGCTCTTTCAATGCCTCATTTCTAGAGATTGCCATTATACTCATTTGATAATTCCTTGGAAGATTCTATTCACAAAACTTTCCTTATTTAACCTAACTCATAATTCACCAGTGTACAAAGCCTTTTCTGTTAGTGTGTTTGTCAAAAACAATCACAGAAAATTATTTAACATTGCAGCTGTCTGAAGCACTGAGTAAAAATGGACAAATAATAGGCTAATGAAAGAGTTCAAAAGAAGAAATCTTGAAAATGAGTTGTCTATAGGAGTCTTTGAAGAGCTACGGCATATTCCTGGGAATCAAAATGCCATGTGCATGTGTAGAGTCGTATGCACAATTAGGGCAGACTAGAGAAGAATCCAAGCTCTCACATCTAGCTAAAATTGAGTCTCTGTATAAGTAGGAAGTAAACGGTAATGCAGACTTTTATAATATCTGGTTAGGTATTAAAGACATGTGACAACACACACTTCAGCAGAGTGAGACTTATTGGCTTCAGCCATTTTAAGAATTTCCATTGAATCATTAAGACTTTAGTGATCACATATGACAAAGAAACTGCAGAAATAGTTTAGAAAAGTTACCAGATAAACAATGTAGAGCAACATCAACACACACTGGGGGAACAAGGGGAAGTAAGGAGAACCTGACTTCCAGCATTTACCTTTATATTATTCTAAATATATAATTTTCAATAAAAATTTATGAGACATATAAAGAAACAAGAAAGTGTAGCCAGTACACAGGTAGGGGGCAAGTATCAATGGTAACTCTGCCTTATGAAGACCAGACATTGACATTTCAAAAATTCATTGACTAAATTTTTGTGCAGTCCAGACATACTAGACAAAAATTTTAAATGAACTATTTAAGTATGTTCAAGAACTTATGAAAACTATGTTGAAGGAACTGAAGAAATGTGTGATTATGATGCCTCACCAAATAGATAATATGAATAAAGACAGAAGAAAGACCCAAATAAAAATTCTGGAGTTTAAATGTCTAATGATTTCTATAAAAAATTTACTAGAGGTGCTCAGAGAAGATTTAAATAGTAGAATAATGAGTGAGCAAACTTAAAGATTGATCAATTAAGGTTATTTAGTCTGAGGAAAAGAAAGAAAAAAAATGAATGAAGAAAAATGAACACAGCTTCAGACACCTGTGGAGGACCTTAGGTATGGCAACATAGGCATAATTAGAGTCCCAGAAGGAGAGAGTGAACTAATGTAATGAATATTTGAGGGAATAATCACCACAACTTCCCAAATTTGATTTTAAAAAAACATCAATTTATACATTCAATAGGTTCAGCAAATCCAGACAGGATAAGCTTAAAGAGATCCATACCTGGATACATTATAGTCAAATTGCCAAAGACAAAGAGAACCTTAAAAGTGGCAAGAGAAGTGACACATTTTATTTAGGCAATCCAGAATAAGATCAGTGGCTGATTTCTCATCAGATACCATAAGGGCCAGCAGGCAGTTGGATGATATATTCAAGGGTGCTAAAAGAGAGATCATCAACCAGTAATTTTATAGCCAGAAAATTATTCTTTAAAAGTAAATACTAAGACACTATCAGATACTCAGACAATAACAGAGAAATTTTTGATAGAATACTAACTCAACAGGAAATACTAAAGAGAATCTTTCAGGTTGAAAGAAGAGTATATCAGACAATAATTAGAATCAACATGAAGAAATACAAAACTATTAAAGATACCTACTAGGTAAATATAAAAGACATTATAAAGGTATTTTTATTTTTTACTCTGTTTTTCCTCCTGTCTAATTTAAACAACACCCATTAAAATCTGTTTTAATGGGCACACAATGTATAAAGATCTGATTTTTATGAAAATAGCACCAAAGAATGGGAACAAAACAGAGAGATACGTATATAGGCTTTTTATACTATTGAATTCATGTTTGTTTTAATCCAAACTAGATTGTTATAAATTAAGATATTAATTGTAATCCCAGAGCAAAGCAATCACTAAGATTATAACTGTAAAATACATAGTAAAATAAATGATAAGGAAATCAGTGGTAAGCTATAATATATCTATTTGACATGCAAAAATTGTAAGAGAACAAAGAAACAAAAAAGACATAAGCCATATAGAAAACACATAGTAAAATGGCAGACATGAATCTTACCTTGCAAGTCATTATAATAAATGTAAGTGAATTGAACACTCCACATACAATGTACAGACTGGGAAAACAGACTCTTTAAAAATCATCCAACTATGTGGTATCTACATTAGAGACACTTTAGATCCAAGGCACAAATAGATTGAAAGTAAAAGGATGGAAATTATATGCCATATGAACAGTAACAAAAACATGCTGGAATGACTACATTAATATGAGACAAAATAGATTTTAAAACAAAAATTTTTATAGAGGCGAGAAGCATATTCTATAATAATAAAAGGACTAATCCATTAAGAAGATATAATGATTATAAACACATAGGAAACTGATAATGGAGGCTGAAAATACATGAAGTATGAGCTGAAAGAACTGAATAGAGAAATAGAGAATTCTATAATAAGTACTTCTAGACTACAGTACTTCACTTCAAATAATAGAAAAACTAGCAGGAAAATCAATGAGACAATAAAAGATATGAACAATACTATAAAACAACTAGAACTAACAAATAACTATGAAACACTACACTCAACAACAGGAGAATATACATTCTTCTCAAGTGCTGATGTTACATTCTCTAGAATAGATCATATGTTAGGCCATAAAACATATCTCAAGAAAATTTAAAATATTAAAATCATACAAAGTATGTTCTCTGAGAACACTGAAATAAAACTAAATGTCAATAAGAAATAGAAATATGTAAATTAAGCAACACACAGTTAAATAACCAATGAGTCAAAGAATAAATCACAAGGGAAATTAGGAAATATTTTGAGATAAATGAAAACAAAAACATAAAATATATTAATTTATGTAATACAGGTAAATGATGCATAGAAAAAACATTATCATTTTAAACACCTATGTTAAAAGAAATAAGAAAAATCTCAACTCAAAAGCCTAACATTCCACCCTAAGAAACTAGAAAAATAAGGGCAAACTAAATCCAAAGAAAACAAAATTCTGGAAATAATAAAGATCAGAATGAAATTAAATGAGAGTAAGAATATAAAAACAATTTTAAAAACTAGTCAAAACAAAGGTTGGTTCTTTGAAAAGATCAACAAAATTAACAAATCTTTAGACTAACTAAGATGAAAGAATAAAGACTCATATTACTAAAATCAAGGACAGAGGAGAAATTACTAACTAAATTATAGAAATAAAAATATTCATAAGAAAATATGATAAATAATTTATGTCAATAAATTTGCACAAATTTCTAAAACTTTCTAAAATTTCTAAAAAAGATGCAAACTACTAAAACTGATTCAAGAAGAAATGGATTATGTAAATGGATTTATAGCATGTAAAAATATTTATTTAATAATCAAAACAAAAAAGCCCAGGAACAGATGTTTCATGGATGCAATCTACCAAATGTTTAAAGAATATTTAATGCCAATCTTTTGCAAACTCTTCTAGCTACTACAACAATGACAAAAATAGAAGTGCAGGAAATACTTTCCGAGTCACTTTATAAGACCAGTATTATATTGATTGCAAAATCAGAGAATAAGATCCCAAGAATATTATAGACTGCTATCCCTTATGATTATAGCTTCAAAAATTATTGACAAAACAAACAACCCAACAATATATAAAAAAGAAACAAGACCAAGTGAGGTTTATCCATAGAGAGCAAGAATTGTTCAACATATAAAAATAAATCAATATCATATGCTTTATTAAATGGATAAAGGTCAAAAGCCTCATGATCAGCTCAAAAGACATAGAAAACCAAAACTGTTCACACTAAGATGAAGAACAAGACAAAGTTGTCCACTCCTGATTCTTCTAGTCAACATTGTAATGGAGTTTCCAGCTAGGGCAAATGGTCAAGAAAAATAAATAAAAAGCATCTAGATTGAAAAAGAAGTAAAATTATCTCTACTTGCAGTTTACTTGATCTTGAATATGGAAAATCTTAAGGTATCTACCAAAGAAGTTATTAAATCTAATAAACAAATTCAGCAAGGTATTGGGATACAAGATTATATTTAACACTCCGTTGTATTTCTATACACTAGCAATAAACAACCCAAAACAAAATTATAATAGCCATTCTATTTATAATAGCATCAAAAATAAAATATTTAGGAATAATTTTTAATTTAAAATTTATACACTAAAAATTATAAAATATAATTTAAAAAAATAAATAAGACCCAATAAATGAAAAGACATCTATATTCATGAGTTAAAAAAATCAATGTTATTAAGATTTAGTACTCTCCAAATTGATCAACATTTTTCAAAAAACCCTATCAAAATCCCTCGTTTTTTTTTTAGAAATTGATAAGCTGAATCTAAAATTAATAAGGAAATGCAAGTGACTCAGAATAGCCAAAACAATCTTAAAAAATATGAACTAAGTCAATGGACTTATACTTCCTGATTTCAAAACTTACTACAAAGCTACACTAATCAAGATTATGAGGCACTTACATGATAGTAGAAAAATAGATCAATGGAATAGAATTGAGAGTCTAGAAATGAGGTCATATGTTTATGCTCAATAGATTTTTGACAATTGTGCCGAGACAATTCAAGAGGAAGGAATAGCCTTTTAAGCAAATGGTACAAAGATAAGTGGGTAGCCACATGTGAAAGAATGAAGTTGAACTACTGTTTCATACCATGTCCAAAAATTAACTCATAATGGATCAAAGACATAAATGGAAAAGATAAAATTGTAAAACTCTTAGACGAAAACATAGGTATATATCTTTGTGATGTTGGATTAGGTAATAATTTGTTTTTTAAAAAATAACAAGTTTTATTATCATTACTGAAGATTGCAAGATGAATTTCCTTATTTAGTCCTAGATCTGGAAATATAATCAAATACAATTAGAATAAACAATATCACTTAACTATTAATGTTTGTGATGAAGTTTCAGATCATATAATTAGGTAATAATTTCTTACCTATGACATCTAAAGTATAATCAACCAAAGAAAAATAAATTGGATATAATCAAAATTAAATATGTTTGTACTTCAAAGGCACTATCAAAAATTATAAAGGCAAAAAATATAGAAAATATATACGTATCATAAATTTGATTAGGATCTAATAACCTGAATATGTAAAAAGATAAATAACCCAATTAAAAATAAATGAAGAATTTCAATAGAAATTTCTTCTAAGATGCTACACAGATGACTAATAAGCACATAAAAAAATGCTCAAAACAATTAGTAATTAGGAAAATGCCAATCAAAACCACAATGAGATACAATTTTATGCCTATTAGTATGGCTATATTAAGAAAAACAGGCAATAATAAACATTAGTGGCAACATGGAGAAATAGGAACCCTCAAACACTAATTGTGGAAATGTAAAATGTGTCCACTTTGGAAAATAGTTTGACAGTTCCGAAAACGCTAAACATCAAGTTTCCATACAAACCAGCATTCCTTGGTCAGCATAATGTTCAGACATCTATTCTCATGTTTTCATTTTCTCTTTCCATGATATTGAGAATTAATATTTATTAAGATGTTTCTGTATATCAAGTACTATTTAAATCACTTTACAAGTATTAATGATTCAACTCTACAACAGGTCTAATTATAGAAGTGTTTTTAATAAACATTTTACGTTAATGAAACCAAGCAATAGAAGGATTAGTTAACTTGCCAAAGATCATATAACTAATAAGTTTAAAATCTTAATTATAATCCCAGGGTCTTTGACTCCAAAGACTAAATTATTATTTAAAAGAGGGACTCTGGTTCCAAAATGGTGGCATAGAAGCAAGCTGAATTTACTCTTCCCCACAGAAAACCAAAAACAAATATACAGCATAAAAATGATCACCAACACTCTCCCTGAACTCAAATATGAGGATGAGACGATTTCCAGGGTCACAGAGTCATAAAAATGTCCAAGCAGATGGTCAGAGAATCAGACTTCCATAGCTGCAATTCTCCTTTCCTCAATCCACCCAGCACCAAGCATGTAAAATATATCCCTCTAAATCACAGTTTCCATACTGGAAAACTTAGATGAAGTAGACAATCAGCTTCTTCACCATCTTGCATTCCCTTGCTGCGGAACTGTATCTGCCTTAACTCATAGGGAGCATTGGGAGCACCTGAAAGGAGAAAGACGTCTGAGAGCAAAAGACAAAGGAGAGAGGCAGAACTACCATCTACATCCCTGGAAACTCTGTTCTATAACAAAACAGATGCCATATCAGAATAGCTCTTCAGCATCACTATGCATATTTGTTCACAGGTCCCCTGACAAAAATCCTTAGTCAGGCTTCCCACACCACAGAAGTATCCCCCTTTTGGATCCTCCTTCCACCCCATTCAAGATGGGTAGTTATCTGATTGTTTATTAGAACTGAAGCAAACCTGGGATTAAGATGCCACATAGTATCAAAAATGAGGCAGCAACCTAGTGGGAAATAAAGGAAAGAAATAAAGAAAATCAACAGATAAGTTATAAAGAATTTGTAAGCAAACATAATAAAAACCAAAACAAGCCAGAAAGAGAAGACTAAATAACCAATCCTTCGATGCAAAGACCTACATGTATATTCACAAGAAACAACAGCAAACATGGAATCATGATCTCAAGGACATCAAATAGGATAAAAAAAAATCATCCGGAGGTCAGCAACTTCAAGGATTCAAGGAACATCAGCCCACAAAGATTAGAAAGAACCAGTTCAAGCAACTGGTTCTTGTAACTGGTTCAGCAACTCAAAAAGCCAGAATGACTTCTTACCTCCGAACAACCGCATTAGTTCTCCAGCCATGGTTCCTAACAAGCTGAGATGGCTGAAATGACAGAAACAGAATTCAGAATATGGATAGGAATGAAGATCATCAACATATAACAGAAAGTTGAAAGCCAATCCAGGGAATCTAAGGATTACAGTCAAATGATACAGGAGACATTAGACAAAATGGCCTTTATAAAAAAGAATCAAGCTGATCTCATAGAGCTGACAAATGCGCTATGAGAATTTCATAGGGCAATAGCAAGTATTAACAGCAGAATTGACCAGCCTGAGGAAAGATTCTCACAGCTTGAAGACTGACTCTCTGAAATAACTCAGTTAAAGAAAATTAAAGGAAAAAAACAATAAAGAAGAATGAACAAAACCTCCAAGAAATACGGGATTATGTAAAGAGACTCAAACTATGACTCATTGGTGTGCCTGAGATAGAGGGAGACAAACCAAGAAACTTGGAAAACATATTTCAGGATGTCATCTATGAAAATTTCCCTAACCTTGCTAGAGAGGCCAACATTTATATTCAGGAAATGTAGAACACCCCTGAGAAATACTTCACAAGAAGACCATCCCCAAGACACATAGCAGTCATATTCTCTAAGGCTGAAATGAAAGACAAAATGCAAAAGGCAGCTAGAGAGAAGGGGCAGGTCACCTACAAAGGGAACCTCCTCAAGCTAACAGCACAACTGTCAGCAGAAGCCCTGCAAGCCAGAAGACATTTGGGGTCCAAATTCTTTAACATTTTTAAAGAAAAGAATTTTCAACAAAGAATTTCATACCCAGCCAAACTAAGCTTTATAAGCAAAGGATAAATAAGATCCTTTTCAGAGAGCCCATGCTAAGAGAATTCATTACCACCAGACCTGGCTTACACGAGGTCCTGAAGGCAGCACTGAATATGGAAAGAGGAAAGACTGTTACCAGCCACTACAAAAACATATTTAAGTGCATAGACCAGTCACACTATAAAACAACCATACAAACAAGTGTGCATAATAACCAGCTTACAACATGATGGCAGGATCAAATCCACACATATCAATATCAACCTTGAATGCAAATGGGCTAAATGTCCCCATTTAAAAGGCACAGAGTGGCAAATTGGATAAAGAAGCAAAACCCAAAGGTAAGCTGTCTTAAAAGACCCATCTTATATGTAGTGATATTCATAGGCTCAAAGTAAAGGGATGGAGAAAAATCTAACAAGAAAATGGAAAACAGATCAAAGCAGGGATTGCTATTCTAAATCAGACAAAACAGACTTTAACAAAGTTCAAAAAAGACAAAGACATTACAAAATGGAAAAGGGCTCGATTGAACAAAATGATCTAACAATCCTGAATATATACACACTCAACACAGGAGCACCCAGATACAGAAAGTGACTTCTTAGAGACCTATGAAAAGTTTTAGATAACCACACAACAATCGTTGGATCCTTTAAAATCCCAGTGACAGTATTAGCTAGATCATTGAGGAAGAAAACTAACAAAATATTCAGGACCTTAACTCAACACTTGACAAAATAGACCTAATAGACATCTACAGAATCTCCAGCCCAAAACAACAGAATATACATTCTCACCTGCACATTGCACACATTCTAAACTAAACTACACAATCGGGCATATAACAACCCTCAGCAGATTAAAAAAACAAACAAACAAAATCATACCAACCACACTGTTCATCCACAATGCACTAAAAATAGAAATCAATGCTAAGAAAATCACTCAAAACATTGAATTAAACTAAACAATCTGCTCCTGAATGATTCCTGGGTAAATAATGAAATTAAGGCAGAAATCAAGATATTCTTTGAAGCGAATGAGTAAAAAGTTACAACATACCAGAATCTGAGACATAGTGAAAGCAGTGTTAAGTGGGAAGTTTATATCACTAAACACCCCCATCAAGAAGTTATTATAGAAAGATCTCAAATTAACAACCTAGCATCACATCTAGAGGAAGCAGAGAAACAAGAGCAAACTAACCCTAAAGCTAGAAGAAGACAAGAAATAACCGAAATTAGAGCTGATTTAAAGAAAACTGTGATTTAAAAAACCACACACACACACAAAAAAAATCAATGAATCCAGAAGCTATTTTTGTGAAACAATAAGATACATAGACCTCCAGCTAGACTAAGAGACAAGATCCAAGTAAACACAATCAGAACAGAAATGATGAAGGGATGTTCCCACTGACCCCACAGAAATACAAAAAAACAAAAAACAAAAAAAAAAAAACCTCAGAGACTATTATGAACACCTCTATGCACACAAGCTAGAAAACCTAGAAGAAATGGATAAATTCCTGGAAACATACAACCTCCCAAGATGGAATCAGGAAGAGATTGAATCCCTGAACAGACTAATACTGGTTTCCAAAATTAAGTAAGTATTAAAAAGTTTGCCAGGTCAGCCTCAGTGACTCATGCCTGCAATCCCAGATCTTTGAAGGCTGAGGCAGGTGGATCACTAGAACCTTGGACTTTGACAGTAGTGTGGGCAACAGGGCAAAACCCCTTCTCTATAAAAAATACAAAAATTAGCCAGACATGGTAGCACATGCCTGTAGTCCCACTTACTCTGGAGGCTGAGGTGGCATGATCACTTAAGCCTGGGAAGCAGAGGTTGCAATGGGCCAAGATCATGTCACTGCACTCCAGCCTGCATGAAAGTATGAGACTCTGTCTCTCAAAAAATTTTTTTAAAAAGCCTACCTGCTGGGCACAATAAATCACACCTGTAATCCCTTTGGGGGGCAGAGGCGGGCAGATCACTTGAGGTCTGGAGTTCAAGACCAGCCTGGCCAACATGGTGAAACCCTGTCTCTACTAAAAATACAAAAATTAGCTGGGCATGGTGGCAGATACCTGTAATCCCAGCACTTTGGGAGGTCGAGGTGGGTGGATCACAAGGTCAGGAGTTTGAGACCAGCCTGGCCAATATGGTGAAACCCCGTCTCCACTAAAAATACAAAAAAAAAAAAAAAATTGGCCGGGCGTGGTGATGCATACCTGTAATCCCAGCTACTCAGGAGGCTGAGGCAGGAGAATTGCTTGAACCCAGGAAGCAGAGGTTGCAGTGAGCCAAGATTGTGCCACTGCACTCCAGCCTGGGGGACAGAGGGAGACTCCATCTCAAAAAAAAAAAAAAGAAAAGCCTACCAACCAGAAAAAACCCAACAGGCAGATTCACAGCCAACTCCTAGCAGATGTATAAAGAAAAGCTAGTACCATTCCTACTGTAACTATTCCAAAAAATCAAAGAGAAAGAACTCTTTCCTAATTCATTTTTGTAAGGCCAGCATCATCCTGATACCAAAACCTGGCAGAAACACAAGAAAGAAAGAAAAATTCAAGGCAATATCTTTGATGAACAAGAATGCAAAAATACTCAAGAAAATACAAGCAATCCTGGTCAGGCGTTGTGGCTCATGCCTGTAATCCCAGCAATCTGGGAGGCCGAGGCCACTTGATCACCTGAGGGTCAGGAGTTCGAGACCAGCCCGGCCAACATGGTGAAACCCTGTCTCTACTGAAAATACAAAAATTAGCTGGTTGTGGTGTCACACACCTATAATCCTAGCTACTTAGGAGGCTGAGGCAGGAGAATCAATTGAACCTGGGAGGCAGAGGTGGCAGTGAGCCGAGATTGCACCATTGCACTCCAGCCTGGGTGACAGAGCAAGACTCCATCTCAAAAAAACAAAACAAAACAAAACAAAAAAAAAGAAAAAAGAAAAAATACAAACAATCCAAATCCAACAGCACATCAGAAAGCTCATACACCATGACCGAGTAGGCTTTATCCCCAGGAGGCAAGGTTTGTTCAACATAATGCAAGTCAATGTTATTCACCACATAACCAGAACTACAGACAAAAAAATCACATGATCATCTCAATAGCTACAGAAAAGTCTTCCAGTAAAATTCAACATCCCTTCATGTTAAAAACTCTGAAAAATAGGCATTGAAGGAACATATTTCAAAATAATGAGAGCACTTTATGAAAAACCCACAGGTGACATCATACTGAATGTGCAAAAACTGGAAGCATTCCTCTTGAAAACTGGAATAAGACAAGAATGTCATCTCTCACCACCATTATTTTACATAGTACTGGAAGTTCTAGCCAGAGCAATAAGGCAAGAGAAAGAAATAAAAGGCATCCAGATAGGAAGAGAACTCAAACTATGCCTGTTTGCAGATGATATGATTCTATATCAAGAAAACCCCATGGTCTCTGCCCCAAAGTTCCTTGATATGACAAACAACTTCAGCAAAGTTTCATGATACAAAATCAATGTACAATAATCACTAGTATTCCTACACATGAACAACATCCAAGCTGAGAGTCAAATCAAGAATGCAATCCCATTCACAATAGCTACAAAAAGAATAAAATACTTAGGAGTATAGCTAACCAAGGAGGTGAGAGCTCTACAATGAGAAAACAAAACACTGCTCAGACATATCAGAGATAACTCAAACAAATGGAAAAATATTCCATGCTCATGGATAAAAATAATCAATATTGCCAAAATGGCCAGAATGTCCAAAGCAATTAACAGATTCAATGCTATTCCTATCCAATTACTGATGACATTCTTCCCAGAATTAGAAAACACTATTTTAAAATTCATATGGATCTAAAAAAGAGTTCACATAGCCAACGCAGTCTGAAGAAAAAAGCAAAAATCTGGAGACATCACACTAACCAACTTTAAATTATACTACATGGCTACCGTAAACGAAGCAGTATGGTACTAGTACAAAAGTAGACACATAGACCAATGAAACAGAATAGAGAGCCCAAAAATTATGCCACACACCTACAGCCATCTGATCTTTGACAAAATTGACAAAACAAGCTATAAGGAAAGGACTCCTTGTTCAATAAATGATTCTGAGATAACTGGCTAGCCATATGGAGAAGATTAAAACTGGACTCCTTCCTTAAACCACATACAAAAATTAACTCAAGATGGATTAAAGACTTAAATTTAAAATGAAAAACTGTAAAAACCCTAGAAGAAAATCTAGGAAATACTATTCTGGACATAGGACCTGGCAAAGACTTCATGACAAAGATGCCAAAGCAATTGCAACAAAAAGAAATTGACAAATAGGACCTAATTAAACTAAAGAGCTTCTGCACAGCCAAAGAAATTACCAGTAGATTGAACAGTATACAAAATAAGAGAAATTATTCACAAACTATGTATCCAACAAAAGTCTAATTTCCATTATCTACAAAGAAGTTAAAAATACAAGCAAAAAAAAAAACAAAAACAAATGAACCTATTAAAAATTGTGCAAAGGACATAAACTGACACTTTTTAAGATCAGAAATTCATGTGGCCAACAACCATAAGAAAAAATATTCAACATAACTAATTATTAGAGAAATGCCAGTCAAAACCACAACGAGATACCATCTCACATCAGTCAGAAAGAATGGCTATAATTAACAAGTGAAAAAATATCAGATACTTGCCAGGTTGTGAAAAAAAGGGAACATTTAGGCTTGTCCACTACTGGTGGGAATATAAACTAGGTCAGCCATTGTGGAAAGCAGTTTGGGGATTTCTCAAAGAACTTAAAACAGAATTACCATTTAACCAAGCAATCTCATTATTGAGTACATACCCAAAGGAATATAAATAATTGTTCTGCCATGAAGACACATTCATGCATATGTTTATCATACCAGTATTCACAATAGCAAAGATATGGCATAAACCTAAGTGCACATTAATGGCAGACTGGCTATATTAAATATGGTACATATACACTATGGAGTACTATGCAGTCCTAAAAAAGAATGAGATTACGTCCTTGGCAGCAACACTGATGGAGCTGGAGGCCATTATCCTAAGTAAAGTAATTCAGGAACAGAAAACCAAATACCACATGTTTTCACTTACAAGTGGAAGTTAAACTTTGAGTACATTTGGACACAAAAAAGGGAACAACAGACACTGGGGCCTACTTGAGGAGGGGAGATTGAGAGAATTAAAAACTACTTAGCAGGTACTATGCTTATTATCTGGGTGATAGAATAACTTGCACACCAAACTTCTGTGACATGCAATTTTCCTATATAATGAACATGTACATGTACCCCTGAACCTAAAACAAAAGTTGATAATAAAATTATAAATAAAAGACTACATTGTTAACCATTAATATTATATAATGCTTATCGAATTGCAGAATAATATAGGCTTTTTGCCATATCCGTTGGAATCAAAAAGTCATACTGAAAGACCATTATAAGCTATTATAGTGCTATTGCTAGTCAGTCTGTTGCATACATAACCATCCTAAATCTCAGTCAACACTGGTGGGGAATGTGAACACCTTAGAATAAAAGAAGTACTAAGGATTCTTAGCTTTCTTATTGGCAATGTATAATCCAAGTTCAAATGGTTAATGATTTGGGAAATTGGTGGTCAAACTGGAACACATGAGTCTCCTCTGTTCCTCATCTGTTTTTTTTTATTCCCCTAAATTCCTCTCTTATGAAAGGAATTGTGGATAGTGAAACGATTATTGTTCTGCCATCTGCCACCGGACATCCTAGCTTGTCTTATGAAGCTGCAACATAAGGTATCAAAGCCAAAAGGTGATCTATGATTATACTGGGAAAGAAGAGTGTCCCTTTTTGTAATACTATGTTAGAGGGGTCCTCAGAATAGTACACATTTGTGCCCCAATGTAATACAAAGATCAGAAAAAGATCATTTAATTATTTTCTCAAACTGCTTGTATTCCTTGTATTCCTAACACCACGAGGTATCCAGGGGACAAGGCAAGCAATGAATAGCATTTGGTTTTGTTTTATTCCTCCTTTCCCCATATGTGTTTGTCTAAGAGACTTCTAGAGCCTCATGCAAATGACCATCAGCCAAGATTGTTCCTTCAGTGTGCTCGACATGCTCAGACAGTGCCAAATATCAGAATGAAGCCACGGGCTGTTACTTCCATGTTACAAACTTGAAATGTGAACATGTACCTTGTACCATGCAAGATTATCTATCTGTCTTGCCATCTATCTACAAAACTAAAAGCTCTGACATTCTAACTTAGAGCCTTCTGAATTATTATGAACCCTATCAAAAATCTACAGTAAAAAAACACAAGACCAACTTATATTCAATTCAACTTGTATGTATATACATATATGGCATAGATTTAATTTTATCTCAAACATCTTTCATATATTGTCTAAAATATTATGTTGAACTTAATATTGTTTTGCTAAGAAAAAGTCAAGAATATAGTGATTCAAGCAAAATTCATAATGAGATTTTTATATAATGAAATATGTGACTCCAGGAGACAGTGATTTGCACAAATACGATGTGATGCATCTTTTGCTGTGGATGTTTTCCTTTTATGCATGGGTATATATATGGGCAGATATAAAGTTATTGTTTTACATATCAGATATTAGATGTTTGCAGAATGCATTTGATTAAAATAAAGTGTTGAACTGATAATGAATATGCTGCCCAAATAATCTTCACCAGTTTCTCCCAGAACATTAGGGTTTAGTTTAGTCAGTGTCTAAGTTTATTGACTTTGCAATAACAATTCATGCCTATTTTTCAAAACCTTTCTGAGAAGGAGACCCACTCATCACCTTTGGCTCTGTAATGACATGTTTCTCACTGCTGACAGATAGTCATGAAAGAATGGACCCTGATTAAGATCGGTTCTGAACTGAGAATGATTGTGGTGATCAATATCTGCCTTGAAGACAGGTGAAGAGACCAGATTGGCCATGCAGCAGGTCTAGTCATTAGTGGAACATAAACAAAGCACCACAGCTCAACCTGAAACATAGAACTGTTTGAACTTTGCCGTGCTTGTCTCTGACCCTGGCTCTCTACAAAGGCTGAAACAACTAATGAGAGTTTGTGACCGTCAATTGTTGAAACTTCACTGTACAGGGCAAGGTTAGGCTGTTTCACATCAGGGTGGCTAGCTGGTTCCTCTTGACACTGAGAATGCCTGCCTTATTCTGAAATTCTAGAGCACTTATTTAATTAAATGCAATTATAACAAAGAACTAAGGAAAGTACAGAGAGGAACACGTCACAGAGTTTTATTGCCAGCCTACACCTCCCTCCGATCATAATTTAATCACATTCCAAAGCATTTCTTTTTAATTTGTATACCTAGAGATACGATATATGAAACAAATAATTCAGGGCTGAGTACAATATTCCAAGACCAATGTAATTTATACAGAAAGCTGGATATTTATTACTGATGCTAGAGGTTATTATCTGAAAGGTATAGACTTCATTTCTGTTTTCAAGAAATAGAGATTTATATTGCTTATTTATTCCCAGCTGTTGAATATCTGAGTTGTGCTCAGAAAAGAGACTAAAAATATTTGATGATACCAGTGACCAAGATAGCAGCAATTCAGAAAATTTCACCCAGTTTTTTTTCAGAATAGGTTCCTGAGTGAATGTTGTATGTGTCTGAGGTTGTATGTCTGATCATGAACGTGGTATCCAATAAAAGACACATATTTTGAACACCATATCATGGAATATTCTGTTTCATTGTTTTTGAAATATTAAAAACTAATTTCTTTAAGATAGTTCCCTGACTTAGGTTTTTTTTCATTGGAACAGTACAAATCCTTGTAGGATCCCTGACCGCAGGACTGAGTCCTTGAGCTCAAATTCCATTGTGGCCTTGCCACAAACTCTCTGGTGTGGTCTTGAGTGAGTCATTTAACATTTTGGCATCTATATTTTTCTCATTTGTAAAAATAAGGAGTTGCACTTTTAGAATCTCATTATTCTATGTTTACGAACTAAACTATAAATAAATTGGGAGTAATTCCCAGATAGTCTTACTCTTAGACATGAAGAAAATGAATCTGAGTTGTTAATACCTAGTTCCATTTCCCATTCTTCTCATTAACATATATGATTACTTATTTTACATAGTTTAGATGTAGAATATGCTAAATTATATGTACTGTGCCCACGCAACCTCAAGAATCACAGGCTTTGGCAATTACTAAATCCAGAAGACAGTTTTGCAACATGTATTTATCCTTCAAATGGAAAGAGCTCCAGGTTATGCATCAGTCTTTTCAACCTCTTGGGTAATAGCGATGCCAGCACAGGATTATGGAAAACAATGATATATACTATAAGAATAGATCAGTCTGAAGATCAAAACATATATCTATATTTCTATGCAAACTTCACTACAGCATGCTTAGAGAGGTTTGGAAACACCTGAGAGTATGCGCATGAATTTCTAATTCTTGGCAGAGATTTAATGTTGCTTCTTTGGTTTGTGCTGTGACTATAGGCAGGCCAGTCTTCACTTATAATGCCCATAACTAGAAAAATAAAAAGTAAGGAAAAGATGAAGAGAGAACAAAGGGCCAAAAACAAGGGGCCTTGAGGTCTCGACCTGAATCGAATACTAACAAGCTCTGTGTTGGAGAGTTATTTTATATCCTTGGCCACAAAACTAAAAGAAAATTTGATATATTAATCTTTGAACTAAAATTAAATTATCTTTAATATGCTCTAATATATTTTCTTTTGTACAACTATTAACTTCCACTTCTGGGCTATTGCAAAGATTGGTGAGCTGAGTCCTGTCAAAAACTTCTAGGAGAGGTAGGTTTTAAACCAAAGTACGATGAGTAGCTTTTGCTTCACGATCCTTTCTTTCTTCTTTTCAGTGTCCCATTCTGCTTTATGCTTTTCCTTACTTCTCAGACCATTTCTCCATTCTAGGTTTTTTCATGCCAATGGTACACCATGTGTCAGAACTTCCCAATCCCTTCTCCTACAAAAAAAAAAAAAAAGTACTTCTCTATTTTCCCTTCTCTTTAGTCCACGGTTTAGTGAACAATGCTAGTCACATAAACTAATTTCTCAGGCATTCCTATTGATGATTTTGGAAGTCAATATCTTAAACAAGAGGAAAGACTCAAATAATGTGACTTCTAGGCATTATTAATATCTAACGAGGGATATGTATTGAAGCTTTTTGATGTTCCTTAAATTGTACCACAAAAGCACCCTTTTTTTTTTTTTTTTTTTTTTTGATAGAGTCTCACTCTGTCACCCGGGTTGGAGTGCATTGGCGTGATCTTGGCTCACTCCGCCTCCCAGGTTGCAACCTCCACCTCCCAGGTTCCAGCGATTCTCCTGTCTCGGCCTCCCCAGTAGCTGGGATTACAGGCCTGCACCACCAGGTCTGGCTAATTTTTCTATTTTTAGTAGAGACGTCGTTTCACCACATTGACCAGGCTGCTCTCGAACTCCTGACCTCAGGTGATCTGCCCATCTCAGCCTCCCAAAGTGACAGGATTACAGGCATGAGCCACCATACCCAATATAAGTATAATTTTGTATACTAAATAGCACTTTACAATTTAAAAGTGCTTTCATATACATTATATTTTAAGCAAACAAAACAGTTATTTCTTAATATATATACATTACTGGACAAAATACCTGATTTTTAGGGAGATCATGACTTGTGAATGTTCTTACAACTACTTAGAATGAAAGAGTTTTATGCTGGCTCTCTTATTTTGGTCTCATGTGCTTGTACCAAATATCTATGTCTGCAACAAAGGTACTGGGAACATCCATGTCATGGTTGTAAGAGAACAGAAAAATAAAACAAAACAAAAAGCACCAGTCTATTCATCCTTAAGGGTTAATTGAAGACCAAGTTTAAAGTTAAAGCATCATAATCATGCATCTTTTAAAGCTAATATTTGGGAAGCCTGATATCAATCACATGAACATCCAAAATTCAAATAAAAGTGGAATAAGTTGTGCCAAAAAGCAACAGGTTCTAATTGTGTCTTTTGCTTCTTCCTGTTTCTTAATCAGAGATCTGACATTTTTCCCAAAAAAAAGCTCAGTATCTTTGAATGGCCTTATATTTATATGTTGGATTATCTCTGATCCTTGATAAGATTTAAATGACAGAAGAAAACCTGAACTAATTTCTATAGTCACTCATTTAAAATATTCTGCTAGTGTCCAAGTTTCCCTATTTTTTGTAATATAGAATCTGGGTAGCCTTATATTTTTATGAATGAGTGCTGGGCATTGGGAAGAAAAACATGGATCTAAAGTAATATGTGGGAAAACAATAAGTCTGAAATATTAAAAGACATTGACCAAATTTATAAAATGACTTAAAAAAGTCAAAGTAAGTGACTTCCACTTTTAATCATTACAAAATAGCAGATATTATCATTTTACCGTGAGAAACCATAAAACTAGACAAAAATATATGAGGCAATTCTTTTCACACAGTGGAAAACAAACAGTACAGGCATGTTATATTTGAGATAAAAGAAGTATACAATGCAAACACCAAATTCACCAGGACTTTCTGGCTGAAGTCAATATTGAAACTGCAGCACAAGGAAGTGGACTGCAAGTAGAAAGTAGCAATCTCATTAGTTGGAATACAAAGTCCAGGATTTCTAAGGAGATTGTTATTTGTGGGGCAAGACACCAGAGAGGAGCTAGTTACATACATGAAGAGGTCCAGAAATCTAGAGAAGACTCCCCTCCACTTTTTGCCAAATGCAAAGCTGCATATATGCGGGAAAATACAAGACAAAGCCTTCAGAGAAAAGCTGTTGAGTATTTGTGAGCCAAATGAACATTCTGGGCATCATACAATACTGGAGGGTATTGAAGTTCTGACCAGCCAAAGTGTAAAGACCTCTCTAAATATATTGGGACTTTCGACGAGTTCCTAGAAAGGCCTCACATGAAGAATAAAGCTACTCTAGGCCTACTCCAACAAAACCTAAAAGCAAGCCTTAACAGGAACAAGGCAAAGTTGACAATTCACTCTTGAGAATGTAATATTCTCCATGTGCATCCCAAAATTTTAAAAAGTACTACTAGATACAAGAAGCGATAAAATGTGACCTGTATTCAAGAGGAAGTTTAAAAAACAACTCATACAAACAGACATAGAGATGATGCAGATGTTGAAATTAGCAGATCAAGACTTTCAAAGAGCTCTTAGAAACATATCCAATGCCTTAAATAGAAATATGGACATAACGAGTGAATAAATAAGTAATCACAACAGAGAAATAAAAACTTTAACACTGCATTTGAAAATATCAATAATCTTAAAGATGGGTCAAACAAAACTATCTAAATTAAAATATATGAAAATGAAGCACACACATGCACACACACCACCACCACCACCACCACCGCTGACAGCAACACAAAACAAATTGCTGGATACCAAAGTGGTGTATAATATTTGTAATTCAAATCCCAGAAGGAGAGAGAGGAGAAAATAAAGTAAAAATAGGCGTCAGAAAAAATAGTGACCAGAATTTTCCAAATCTGACTGTAATTATTAATGCATTAAATCCAAGAAGCTCAAGGGAAATTGATCTAAGGAAATAAAAAGAAAACTATGTATGCAGATCATAGTTACATTTATAAAATACAAATATTAAGAGAAAACCTTGAAAGGGTCATTACCTATAGAGGAATAATGACAAGAATAATTGCTAACTTCTTATCAGAAACAATGCAAGCCAGAAAAAAATTGAATAATATACTTAAAATATTGTAAGCAAATAGAAAAAATAACTGTAAGCTTACATTTCTATATTCAACAAAGATATCCTTCAAATATGAAATCAAAGGAAAGACATTTTCAGATCAATGAAAACTGAGAGGATTTTTCACCAGTATACTTGCTCCATAAGAAAGTTAAAAAAAATTTTTCAAACTGAAGAAATTTCGAATAATTTATGTGAATACTCTAACTACCAGGAAGTAGAGCTTAACTCACTTGTCTAGCAAGCTTGAGTGTGGGCTGTGCTTAGTGACTTGCTTCCAAATAGTAGAATATGAAAAAAGAGGAAAAGTACCTTTACAGTGGAGAAACCTTGAAAATCACTACCTTCCTCTGACGATGAAGGTTAACTATCAGTGAGAAGTCACATTGATAACATCAGCCTTAATATACTGTAGTCAGAATGGCACTTCACCTCTGTGGTTTCCTTCCAAGAAGTCATAACCTTTGTCTAACCATGAGAAAAACATCCAATAAACCCCAATTAATGGACATTCTACAAAATACCCTATCATTACTCCTCAAGACTTTCAAGGTCATCAAAAACAAGAAAAGTCAGAGGCCAAACAAAACTAAGAAGATACGATGTCTAAATGTAATGTGGCATCCTGGATGGTATTCTAGAACAGAAACATGGTATTAGAGAAAAACTAGTAAAACGAGAATCAAGTTTGAAGTTTAATTAATGGTGGTGTACCAATGTTGGGTTATATATATGTATGTGTGTATTTTTTTTTTTTTTTTGAGATGGATTCTTGCTCTGTCACCCAGGCTAAAGAGCAGTGGCGTGATCTCGGCTTACTGTAAGCTCCACCTTCCGAGTTCACGCATTCTCCTGCCTCGGCCTCCCGAGTAGCTGGGACTACAGATGCCCGCCACCACGCCTGGCTAATTTTGTTTTTTGACAAATGTACCATATTAAGGTAAGATGTTACCAATAGGAGAAACTAGGCGACAGGAATAGAAACTCTCTGAACTATCTCTGCAACTTTCCTGTAAATCTAAATTTAATTTTAAATTTAGTTTAAATTTAAATTAATTTTAAATTTAGTTTAAATATAAATTAATTTTAAATTTAGTTTAAATATAAATTAATTTTAAATTTAGTTTAAATTTAAATTAAGTTTAAATTTAGTTTAAATTTAGTTTAAATTTAAATTAATTTTAAATTTTTTAAATTAAAATTAAAAAGCCTAAAGAGAGAAAGAGACAGAGAGAAAAAGAGACAGAAAGACAGGAATATAGACTTTCCTCTTGTCCTGATAATAACTACAGAGGGTATGGATAAGAGAAAAGTAATTACATAACTACCCCACCTTTCTCTTGATTCAGGAGGCATGTGTAAGATGGGGCTGAAGAGCCACATGGATTTAGCATTTGTTTTGGTTTATGTCAATTGGCAGGATCATCTCTTTTGTTCTGACAGGGTTTCACCTTCATCCATTTCCCAGTCTCTTCTCTGCCTATTCAAAGGTGATATGATAAATCATTAGTCAGCTCTGCTTGTGTACATGGAAGCGGCATTGAGTGTTCACCTAGAGTTGCTGGGAGGGGTGTGGAGAGGAGCCTAGTGGAACTGTATCCTACCACCCACATGCATGTGTGTGTATACACAAACAGGCAAACTGGGGCAGCATGTGTGTTCTGATGAAGGATTATTCTATAGCACTAATATATCAAGGTGGCAATTATTTTCCCTGCAATCAAGATTCCCACTCCAACTCTATCAGCATCTCTAATAAAAAACGACACTGAAAATATAGCCAATATTTGCCTCTCCTAGCAGCTTTGGAGACTATTTGGATTGAAATAAATTTGTAAGGGTATGGAAATTGTGGGATATGATCACATAATGGCCTCCACACTTTTTTCAAGGAAACAGCCTCCTTACATTTTACTTTCCCATAAAATAAAACTGCCAGAAAAAAATAAAAAAGCAACAACTAAGTTTCAAATCTCTCCTCTGCCACTTATGAACTATGTGACCATGGAAAATGGTAATATAGTTACATAGGGTCTTTTTGTTCTAATATTCTTATTTGAAAGATATAGATAATAATTTCTTCCCACCTTACAGATATATTTTGAGATTCTAATGAGTTTATATACAAGAAAGGCTTCATAACCCTTTTACAAAAACATAAATTTTTAAAAGATCAAGGGGCAAAACTATTAGAATTATGACAAGAACACGACTAGGCAACATATTGGCATGGGACAGATATTATATTCTCATCCCTGATTCCTATTAAGGGTGCATCTGATCCTGCGCCATTTAGAAAGCATATTTGCTCCTGTTGAAATAAATATAAATACAGTAGGAAACAATGTAGCCTTGGGAGGCATTTTTCCCTCTTAATTTATTTTCCTGTATTTTCTTCCAAATTGTTTCTCACTTACATGGAGATCTAATTTTCCTATGAGTGCTACTGCTTAAGTATATTGATTCTGACACTCCTCTGGTATTTACTGAGATACAGCTCAAACAGATCAAGAGAAATTTAAAAATGATTCTCAAAAGTGAAATCAACAAAACATTCATCGAAGCAAAAAGAAAGCTGGAGGAAGCTAAGGAGAGCAAATAAACACAATTGAGTTGGGGGTTCAATGGCTAGTTCTCCGTCACCCTGCCTTCATGGATTCTGTTTGCTAGATTGATAGATGTATGCAAATATAAGTATATAGAGGGTGTTTAATAAACATATGTAAAACTCATATACAAAATAAACTTCAAACTTACATTATACAAAATGGCTGTATATCTAATCTTATGAGACTGGGAATTGGTGGAGTTAAGGGACTGTTTCTTACAGTGTGATTCAAAATAAAAAGAAATTATGGCTGGATAGTTAGCTCAGGGACTTGAAGAAATTCTGTGTGGTTATTAATGCTGTGGTTGGTTTCTACCATATTATGATTTGTAATTATTTTATTTTAATTGTCCATGAAGCTTGCCAGATATTTTCAAAAGACTTCATAAATGAGTTAATATTTTGCCATTTTATTTTTCATTACTGTTCCTGGAAACAGTGACAGAATTGATTCACAAGGTCACCTAACATTCTCTTACCATTCTTTGTACCTTAAGATATCCCATAAGTTTAATGTCTTTTATTTCATCTCATCAAAGGTATAAATGATATTTTGCTGGGTCACAGAGATGATGTTCCTATTATATTCTCTCATCAAATCACTGACACCATAAACTGTAATGGCTTCTTCAGAACTATTAATGTATCTAACATCAACCTATATTGGGGAAGTCCTTAATCCTGCAAGTGGTTGTTAAGAACTTACATTTACACAGAGCATTTTAATCTCAATCTTAAAGTGATATATATAAAGAAAGTGTTAATCCATCCACTGCTGCAATGACAGCCATTTCTAAAATGGAATGCAGCAGCTGGATAGCTACTGCTCTTTCACATGGCCAGAGATGAATATTGTATTTAATATAAGGTGAATTAGACTTCTGGAATCTGCTCTCACTTTTAAGTGATCATTAAAATAGGTCTCTGTGACCAATATTTCTTTATTTGTGTAAGTAGAAACTCCCAAGTTTGGTATTTCCCATTTTTCTGGCTCATTTCTTAGACCTGGAGTAAAACTCAGAGAAATGCTGGAACAGACAGCAAGAATGTTTACCCAGAGCATATAGAAGCAATGTCGTGGAATAATTTAAAATGAGTGAGAGCTGAGAAAGCCAGAGTGCAATACTATGGAACAACACCAATTGTAATGAGGACAGTACAGGGAAGAGTTAAACCACGAAGACAAACACTTCCAAAAGTCTTATTTTTGGTAGGTCAAGGCAAAGAGTTTAGAGTGCCAGCCATGAACAAGGGAGCATGAAGAGTTGAGGACTTCATTGGTTGTTTGTACCAAGGGTCTTGAATATAATTGTGCCCATTTTATGACCTGTAGTCATGAAAAACAGAGGCATTCACCTGAATGGCTACATGAGGTCAATAACTATTTTTTCTAATCTTATCATGGAATTTCTTCAAGAAAGTACATGAATTTCAATGTATTCTAGCAACCTGTACAAACTATCTGCATGGATTACTTTTAAGTTAACACATAGTTAATATGTAGTTAATATTCCAGCCTCTTCCATGAGTACAGAAGAAGCACCAGGCCTCTACTTAAAATTAAACAGACATAAATATTGAATTTTATAAACACACATTGCAACTAACCCAGAACAAAGCGTTTCTGAAAAGAACAGAAAACTTGGAAGCAAAACATTTTATTTTGAGTCTCAGATCTGTCATTTTATAGCTATGTAATTTTGGACTATGATTTTCAGCTGGAACATTCTCATATGAAAAGTGAAGATAACAATCCGTGACTCAGATGACTATATCAGGGATTAAATGGTTTAATGTATATAAAAGTTATTTGGAAATACTAAGTCACCATATAAATATGAAAGATCAGCAATGGCTTAACTAGAGACATATTTCTTTACCTAACCTCAGATCACGAATCTAAAGGGCCTTAAATGTTGGAAACAACCTGAAATAGAATAGTAAATATACCCAGCTGAGTTGCTTCTGAATTATCAGGGCTTTTTTACTTGAATATACTTTTAAATACTGGGATCTCTTAATATTTATGTCTTCATTCTTGAAAGATTAAGTTACTGATATATACCACTTGAAATATGTATTAGACCTCTTGACCTTTAAAAAATTTACATGATTGCTAATGAGAATATATCAAATATAAAATGGTCTATTACAAAAACTATTGGGTCTATCTTCATGTCTGATTCATTAAGCAGATGTTTATTGAAAAGGGGTCAAGATCAAAGCACATTATTCTGATTAACAATGAAAAAGGTATTCAAAGATATATTATGTAGAAAGTACGACAAAATTGTATAAACAATGGAAATTTCCAACATTGGAAACTCTTACAATATAGTGAGCTTCCATCCACCTACTTAATGGCATTTCTTTGCATAACCCTTTTACATTGAAGACTTTCCCTCCATCTAGCGTAACTTAATGGGTTTATATCCTGAGAAGTAAATGCAGCTGAAGCTCTAACTTTATTAGTTGCCTGACTCTTTCAGAAATTCTGGCTTCAGACCAATTCAAGGTAAATTTATACTGGGAAATAAGGTTAGAAATAAGGTTAAAAGTGGACATATTTGGAGAAGAGACTTGTGGTTATAGCTTTTCTATGTGAAAATGTGATAATACATGATTGCTTTGAGAGCTTAAGTGCTCATAAAATTCATAATCAACTATGTATCCAAACTAGATTGAAGATTGCTTTTGGAGATACGGTAAATGAGCCTGCTTTTTCTCACCAAAAATATAGAGGTGAACAGGGATCAAAAACTTCTTACCCCACCCAACAACACACTAACCTTCTACCAACATTCACCTAGTTGACCAAATGCATTATTATATCAGCCTTGAAAACTGCATAAGGGCCTGTTATAACACTTTCTATCTTTTTGCTACAAGAATGTATTAGTCCTTTCTCTACTGCTATAAAGAACTACCTGAGACTGGATAATTTACGAAGAAAATAGGTTTAATTGGCTCACAGTTCCACAGGCTGTACAGGAAGCATGGCTGGAAGTCCTCAGGAAACTTATAATCATGGCCAAAGGGCAAAGAGGAAGCAAGCATATCTTTATATGCCGGCAGGAGAGAGAGTGAAGGGGGAAGTGGTACACACTTTTAAATAACCAGATATCATGAAAACCCACTCACTATCACGAGAATGGCAAAGGGGAAATTTACCCCCATGATCCAATTACCTCCCACAAGGTGCCTCCCACAACAATTCAACATGAAATTTGAGTGGGGGACACAAAGCCAAATCATATCAAAGAACAACACCTATACGGTGCATTTACATTATTTTATCTTGATAGAAAATTGACCATGAGCTGAAATTCCCTCTCTCTTAGCTGATAATTATTCTCTTATATTTCCACAGTACATTATTTTTAATACAAGGAAGATATCGCCTGTCTTTGTCAGTTCAGGCTTCTATAAAAGAATACCACAGACTGGGTGGCTTAAGTAACAGAAATTTATTTCTCACAATTCTGGAAGGCTGGGAAGTCTAACGCTAAGATGCCAGCAGATCCAGTGTCTGGTGAAATAATTCTTTCTGGTTTGAAGAAAGTGGTGTTCTTATATCCTCACATGGTGGCGAGAGAGCACTCTGCTCCCTTCATCTTCATAGAATGGCACTAATCCCATCATGGTGGCTCCACCCTCATGATCTAATTTAACCATAATTATTTTCCAAAGGCCCCATGTCCAAATATCATCACATTGGGAGTTAGGATTTCAACACATAAATGAGAGTAGGGCACAAATTTTCAGTTCACAGCAGATATGAGATTTATGCATGCAGATCAAAAGATAGCATGTAGTTAGGGTGACCACTAATCAATTGTTTATACTATGACACTTTTGATAGTGCAAGGGCAGGCATAAGTGTACCAGAATTGTGTTGAACCCTAGAGAAGTCCACGTAGGTATCCATGGTGTTTAAAAGTTCGGCACCTCCTACCCCCAAAGACTCCTACATGCTTCTAAAAATATTTTATTATGCAACCAGCATATCTACTTATCCATCTATTCATACTGATATGGCTTTTCAAAGAATGTTTAAAGTTAATTTGTCTAATGGCTCAATCAATGTGAAATCAAATTTTCACCATATACTATTACCCATAATAGGCAATACGAAGTGCTACAGAGTTTTACAATTTTCTGGTCTGACAGGCTATTAATGAGTACATTTTAAAATAAATTTTCAGATTCCTTTACTTGCATGGAATTCTATTTTAGTAAATTATTTATTTAGGGGTCATTGATTTCTTATTCTTAAAAAACCTAATTCCTTTTTTCCTCAAAACATAATGCAGACATAACCAAAAAGTCCCACATGGTTGTACAAATAAAAAAGAATAATGTTTCATTCACTTTTCTAGGTATCTTTTTTTAAGAAATCATAAGCTAAAAGAAATGAAGCTAATTTGTTGAACAATTAACTTCTCTGTGTCTTAGTTTCTTCTTCTTTAAAAACTGTTAATCACTATTAACAATATCTGTAAGGATATGAGAATAATAACCAAAACCTCTATATTAAAGTAGTTGTGAAGATTTGTAAGAATAGTGCCCAACGAATGTTGCTGAAAAACTTTGCATTTGTTGTGTTCCAGATCAGTCCTTCTATTCTATACTTGAATTTCCATACAATAGAGAATAAGACAAATAATTCACTGATAAGATTTTGTTATTTATAGAGGCCAGGCTGGAAAATTTAACTTACATCTTTAGACAGTGGGGCTTTCTGATTACATCTTCCAGGCATCATTGGAACTGTAAGACTTACGGCATCTAAGAGCAGTAGTAAACGCATTCTCTATGGGCATGCTTGCTCCCAAGAAGTAGGGAAGAGTAATACCAGGGCTATAGTATCAGGCAGGATTGGTTTATTTCTGGTTCACACAACATTTCTACAGTTCATCAGTTTTAGGGATGAGGTCCATACGTATCTCACTTTAGGACTTAAGCTGATGGAGTACCCAATATCTGGAACCCTGCAGGTAGCTATGGTAATGGTGAAGGAAGCTTGGTGAAACACACACAGCCAGAAGTGACACACACCAGTTCTTCTCACATTGTATTGACAAAAACAAGCCTTATGTTCAAACTGAAGTAGGAAGGCAGGTTTGATTCTATTCTATGCAGAGAATGAAGGACAAGCAACGTATTTGTGAACATCCCCAATAGTTCTCCCTTCTTGCCACTAAATATTTGCTTCACTCTCCCTCTTATACAAATTAGACTCACCACTTTCTCAAGGAAGGCCACCCCAAGTTCCATCAAGTCAAAGCATCAAGTCAAGGCCTAGGATCTTTGGGTGAACTTGTAGTCAATGCATCAAGAGGTAATGGGGAAAATGTTGATACCAGGAACACATATAATTCTTCTTGTTCTAAACACCTACGAAGTACAAAAACAAGTGATTTTTTCTTTTTTACATCCTCACCCTGCCACAACCACTACAGTCACATATAGAGTATACCATGATGGAAGGCAAACAGGACAACTTCAGCATTCTCATTTAAAAAGGGGTGGGTTGGAGGAGAGGAGACATCATATAGTTACTAGTTCATAGCAATTCTAAATCCCACTGAGCAGATGTTGGATGGGCCCTATCTCTGGCAAAGGTAACATTCCTTGATTAGTCCTCACTTCTCATTCCTGGAAAAGGCTCTATAGTCAAATAATTTCTATGGCAACTGGCTCTGACTTTCGGAAAAGTCCTCTTTGTTTATTATCTTTCTTGACTACATCTAATGAGGGTATTAGAGGACATACCCTCTTGGGAGGCAGAGCAGCTTTTTAGCTTGCTTCCTGCTCATGAAGGTTAGCACTTAAAGAGTAATTTTTTTTAGGTCTCAAATAATGTTTTAATATTGTTTCATATCTTCCCAGACAGTACAACTCAGAAGAATGACTTCTATTTGATTCTAGTAGGATCCAGATACCAATAACCAAGACTACCTTTCTTTTAGACGCATGCCTCGTTCTCTGGACTTACTAAATACTTTGAGCTTATGAAGCTTTGTGGTGAGAAATACACTTTTAGCTTTAATTCCCTAAGCCATATTGTAAAACTCAGGGGAATTGCTAGGCATGATATTAACCTATTTTTTTCAGGTTTTAACAATGGTTGTGATAAGTAAAATCTCTGATTTTATCCTCACCAGCAAGGCTGAGTTCTATCACCTTTTAAGTTTTTGTCACTCAAGGAATGTCTCAATTTTCTATTTTGCCTTTCTAATAAGCCTTATACCCCTTCAAGTTTCTTCTCAATTTTCATTCCCTTTTTGCAAATTCATAAGTCTCTTCTGTGATTATAGAACCTTTTCAAATGGAGCAAACAGCACCAATTTATGGTACTATGTTCTTTTTTTCTAAACTCTTCTCTAAGACCAATAAGTTCATTGGATATATTATCTGCCTGTTGAGTTATTACAGGTGATGCTTTCTATCAAATATCATGCTAATGAATAACATGGTTCACAATATTTCCAGGCTTTAATATTATTTCCCTCATTCTCTGTTCCACAGCCTTTAAGGCAGTACCACATAGTTTAGATTTTTTGTTATGAGGTCACTCCATTTCTAGGAGCTAATTTCTGCATTGGTGAAAATAGGCTACATAACAATACATAACAATATGGGTAGCAAGTCTTTCCACTCACAGAAGCTCATATTACGTGTCCATCAAGGGTTGGTTGGGAGCTCTATTCAACATCAACACCATCATCCTACTTAATAGTTCAGGCTGCTGATCCTTATGGTAAGAGGAAGGAATAACTGGTCTGACTTCATTTGGGTGGAGAAATGTAACCCTATCATGTGTCTGACAGAAGAAAACAGCCTAATGTTTTCATAGCCTTTTGTGTCCAGGTTCTTTTTCCAACTAATTAAAGAGATTATGTCTCTCCTCTGTTGAAAAGAATGAGTGAGAGAAGAGCGGTGTGGAGAGCTATGCTAATGGAGAGCCTTCCATATGAAAGGACACTCCAGTCCTGGGAAAGAAGATTCTTGGCTGGGTGCAGTGGCTCACACCTGTAATCCCTGCACTTTAGGAGGCCAAGGCAGGTGGATAGCCTGAGGGCAGGAGATCGAGACCAGCCTGACCAACATGGTGAAACCCCGTCTCTACTAAAAATACAAAAATAAGCTGTGCGTGGTAGCGGGCATCTGTCATCCCAGCTACTTGGGAGGCTGAGGCAGGAGAATTGCTTGAACCCAGGAGGCAGAGGTTGCAGTGAGCCTAGATGGCTCCACTGCACTCCAGCCTGGGTGACAGAGTGAGACTCTACCTCGGAGAAAAAAAAAAAAGTAAGATTTTTCCCCAAACAATTCAACTATTTGTTCTTTTAACACATTAATCTTAACCATTAACCTCATGGCACACTCAAGTCGTGGCCGTTCCTCTCTCCAAGATCAGTGTTTTGTTGCTGTTTTGCTAACGTTTATTTTAAATTTGGGGCAGATGTGCAGGTTTCTTATGTAAGTAAGTTGCAAGTCATGAAGGTTTAGTGTGCAGATTATTTTGTCACTGAGGTAATAAGCTTAGTACCTGATAAGTAGTTTTTCGATCCTGACCCTCCTCCCATCCTCCACCTGATGTCTGCTGATCCCGTCTTTGTGTCCGTGTGTACCGAGTATTTAGCTCCCACTTAAAAGTGAGAATATGCAGCATTTATTTTTCTGTTCCTACATTTGTTCACTTAGGTTAATGGCCTCCAGCTTCATCCATGCTGCTGCAGAGGACACAATCTTGGCTTTCTTTGTGGCTGCATAGTATTCTATGGTATATATGTACCACATTTTCTGTATCCAATTTACTGTTGATGGGCATTTAGGTTGATTCTATGTCTTTGCTATTGTGAATAGTGATGAACATATGCGTGCATGTGTCTTTATGGTAAAACAACTTAACGGTATATACCCAATATTGGGATTGCTGGGTCAAATGGTAGTTCTCTTTTAAGTTGAGAAACTTATCACACTGCTTTCCACAATGGCTGGACTAATTTACACTCCCACCAGCAGTGTATAAGTAAGTATTCCTTTTTTTCCTCAACCTCACCAGCATCTGTTATTTTTTTACATGTTATTAAGAGCCATTCTGACTCGTGTGAGATGGTGTCTCCCTGTGGCTTCAATTTGTATTTTTCTAATGCTTAGTAATGTTGAGCTTATTTTTATTTGCTTCTTGGTCACGTGAATGTCTTATTTTGACAAGTGTCTGTTCATGTTTTTTGCCCACTTTTAAATGGAGGTGTTTATTTTTTGTTTGTTAATTTGTTTAAGTTCCTTAAAGACTGGATATTAGACCTTTGTCAGATGCATGGTTTGCAAGTATTTTTTCTCTTGTTTTGTAGGTTGTCTGTTTACTCTGTTGATAGTTTCTTTTGCTGTACAGAACCTGTCCTTCTTTGTCTTTTTTGAGAAGATCAGTGTTTTATCAGGAGACAAGTGCTCCCAGTTTCATAAAACTACCCTGCAACATAAAGCAAGTACAAATCTTTTAAGTGTTCTCCTGGGGCTGTTTATATGCAGGGTAGATTTTTCCCTTAAGCTAGGTAGTTCACAAAAATCAATTATTAAATTAACAACAGACCCACAGCTGAAAACTTGATCTCTATGTTATTTGATATTCCCAAAATTACGTCAAATTTTATTGACCAATGAAGCCCATCAGAGATGAGATAGTTATTTTAGGTGTCTTCTTTTTTTCATTCAGCATATTCAAATTTTAATTCCTCCTTTGAGCACCAGAGCTTTGTCAATCCAGTGACATACTGAGGGTGGACACTGTATGGTAACAGATTTAAATATTGCTAGTGAATAGCCATGCTGTTAGTTTAAATTCCATGTACTTAACTTATAGAGATCATTCTTGAGACCATGTGAACAAGCCATTTTAATCCACGTGAACTGCCCACAATATGCATTTCTCTAAAATGCAGAAAGCAACTTGGGACATAGTGTCTAGGACCATGTGCCTAGGCCTGGCATTAAAATTCACAAAAGCAGAGAGAAGCATATAGTTAACTTCCATTCATCAATTTCCTTGCATCCACAAGTATAAACTTTTAAAAAAATCTAGTTGGATCAATTCCTGCCCTTATGCTGATACTGTTCCTGTTTATTTGAAAACAAAACAAAACACCTTGTTATTTCACTTATAAACACTCCAGTTGGCATTAACAATTTAAAGCAAGAACCTCACCAGTATTCTGTAGACGTCAGCTGCTTTGCAGTTTAAAAGCATCAAATATTGCTTTTCCTACAAAGTTAAAAAGGCCAGTAAAACTCTCTTTTCTGTCTAATCGAAAACCTGAGCCTGTTTATAAGGCCTCTGTGAGCAGCAGAGATGAGCAGAGACCCCACTTCCCACAAAACCTTGCTGTAGCCCCCAGGTGGCCTGCACATGCAAATGGCCCAGCCTTTGCTGATACAGTCAGGGCCAGCTGGTGTTTGGATAATGCGCTTAAGACCTGAAGCCAGCATTTTGGCTGAGGTCTGGACTCTGAAATCTTTGCTAAAGTCCAATCCCCTTGCTGAAGCTTGCTCACTGTTTTGTATGGCCCAAATCTTTGCTAAGACGATCAGCCTTCTGAGGTCTGCGCCGTTGCTGAGGCCTTTGTTCAAGAAGAGAAAGGCCTGCACGTCATCAGCTGAATCCTCAATTTGTTTTAATGAAGCAACTCCAAAGTTCAACTTCCCCTCTCAAGGCACATAAGAAGCCTCAATTACTTCTCCTATGTTCTGGCCTTCCACATTTTATTCATTGTCTCTTTTTCAAACTCATTAATTCATGCAGCAGATGTTGGGGTGTTTTGATAGGCTCAGTAAATAGCATCTGTCTTGTCTGCCTAAGTTCTGAACTAACTTGGAAATAAAACAAATGGAGTGAGAATAGGGGGGTTGGGGGAAGGATAAAATCCTGCCTTTATTTACTGAATAAGCTGATATTGAAGAATGTTGCACACACACACACACACACAGCCAACAGTGCTCCCTGAAACTAGACAGAATTATCCAGTCTCAGGCTCTCAGACATCTCTCCACCTAGAGGCAGGTCCCTATGAAACAGACAATATGAAGGAGCAAAAGATAATGCATAATCTATGTGAGCAAAGCTGCTTCCAAGAATAAGGAATTAGCAAGAAGCTGGGCTACTTATGCCTCATCTATTTTTCCAAACACAATAATCTGATTAAGCTACTGCTCTTGAAAAGAAGTACATGAAGAACCAAGAATGTTATAATAATGAAGCTCCCTTCACATAGAAGAAAATTTTAGACAGGAGAAGGAGCTCATACCACTATAATGGTTTTATTTGCGTGTGTGTATCATGCCTGACTGTGGACAAGCTGACATGAACATCAGTGAAAATTCCCAGGTTTTGCCACATAGACACAAGCAACATAAGGTTTCTCAATGAGCAGCAAAGATAATGAAAAGGAGATTGAACAACTTTGATGCAGCAGGAATTTTCCAGCCCTGTTACCAGGACATTAGGCCTGGGGGATGTGGCTGACCTCGTGGCAAACTTATGGTCTTACTTGCTAGAAATTGTGTTTGGGCATTGAGACAGCCCTTCTGCACAGGGGAGGATAAAACTCAAGATGCTTTCTTGGAGGGCTTCTCAGGTGTGGCAGATTCCTGAAGTTGCTGACTATTTTCATGGTTCCACCTGGAATAAGTGTTCATAAAGAATAAAAGGGGTCACCTGAGAAACAGGCTTGCATTAGGTATATTCTTTACCTATGCTGTTTTCATATCTTTTTTTCTATTGTGGCAAAATATACATAAAACTTACCATTTTAACCATGGCTAAGTGTCCGATTCAGTGGCACTAAATATTTTCGCAGTGTTATGTAGTCATCACCAGTATCCATTTCCAGAACCCGTGACTTTCTTCATGTTTAATAATCCTGTGCATTAAACTGAGCAAAGTCTATTATTTTCAGGTCCAGTATCTTCAAACCCAATCTCAGTGTTCTTGGATTTGGGAGTAAGAAATCAGCGTCATGATCATCATCATAATCATTGTCACCCAAGGTCATCCCATAAATGACAGAACTGGGTTTAGCATGGAGACCTTATGATTCTTAATCTCCTGTCTCTCCACAGCTCCTTTCTTACTATGACGATTGTTATGTTGCTTGCAACAGATGCTTTAAATTCAATTGTGAGGGAAGTAATTCGAAGGTCTGACCAATTGCTTTAGTACCTGAAGCACTTTTTAAGTAAATATTCTTTTATGAGAAGAATATCGAGGAAGGAAGGAAAGACAAAAGGGACTTAAATCATTAGTCTCCTGGTTTTTATCTAAGGAAATAATACATTTAAATAGTGAATACTAAAGAGAATGACATTCCAGGAAGAAATACTAGGCAACTTTCACATAAAGACAGAATATTTTGTAAAATATTCTGTGTGTAATAACAGAATATTTTATCCACTGCTTCTTGGTGTCTTTCTGTGAGCATGTTGCTATCAAATCCAGATGTGCGTATTTGCACCTGGGCGTCAGTGCTGAGAAGAACTTCACTATATTTAGTTCAGCAGAGCAGGCATGCCTTCCAAGTATTCCATGAGTTTCATGGCTCTGCTTCTGTTTTTATTGCTTCTGGTATCTTTTCTCATTCCCTTCCACCTAAACTCTAGGATTTCATGATAGCCTGAATAAGGAGATAAAGACTCAAATCTATTGTAAAAAAAAAAAAAAAAAAAAAAGAAAAATTATATTTCAATATTTCAGACAAATCAATGACAGTTTAATGCAAATATGAACACCTCATTCTGTATCACTTTAAAATAGATTCATTTTATTTTTTTTAAATTAAAACTAGCTGAGCACAGTGGCTCATGTCTGTAATCCCAGCACTTTGGGAGGCCAAGGTGGGCAAATCACTTGAGGTCAGGAGTTCAAGACCAGCCTGGCCAACATGGTGAAACCCATCTCTACTAAAAATACAAAAATTAGCTGGGTGTGGTGATGGACACCTGTAATCCTGGCTACTCTGGAGGCTGAGGCATGAGAATCTCTTGAACCCAGAAGGCGGAGGTTGCAGTGAGCCGAGATGGCACCACTGCACTCCAGCCTAGGTGACAGAGTGAGATTCCATCTCAGAAAAAAAAAAAAAAATTACAAATGGAAAAGTTGACCCTTTTTGTCATAGAGTTCCATGAGTTCTTACACACTTGTAACCACTACCACCGATAGAATGCCCAGCATTGCAAACACTTCAACAAGGCTTCACACTGCTCCTCTGCAATCAGATCCCCCTGCAGCTCTTCACCCTGACTACTGACTTCCTCTTTCTTTCTATATTTTGCCTTTTCCTGAAGGAATGTGACTTACTTTCCATAAAAATAACAGGGAGTTTTAAATTAGTAAAATTTTTATTAAATTAGTAAAATTTTTATTTTATTTTGCTTCACTAAAAGGGTGACATTGTTCACCAAATTTCACCAAAAAAACTATAAAATATTTGACTCAATAATGAATAGGTGATATTTTGGTCAGATACAAAATCTAGTTTTCTGTGTTTATTCCATGTATACTAAGTAAAAAAAGAAACCCACAACATAATTAAAGATATTGGAATGGATATAAGCTTTGTGAGTCACTGACAGTTAATTTTGAATATTTGATTTGAAATAGGCCTTGAAATTTGAAGTAATTTTTTTCATGAAGTCTAATCTCAGGATGCTGTCAGATGACAATGCCATAAGTATTTGCTTTCAAAAGGAGAATTTTGAATGTTTCAATTTGGGAAGAAACTGTAGAGAGAGATTTCTACTGTATTATGGGCATATTTTTTTTCTTAGTAACTAAATAAAAACGTCAAAAAACTTAACTCAATTATTTCCACAATAATTAATTCAGTCTTATTAAATCCTTATATTGCCTTAAAGTTAAAAACTTGCTTTCTTTTGCCTGTAAAGTGACTGATTCATAATTTAAAATCTGAATATATTATCACTTGACTAAGCCACCTGAAATAAAACTACTGAGCTATCAAAATTAATAATAAATCTTTGAAATCTCTTAATTTTTCAGTTTACATGTAACCAACATTCCCTAAATGGTCAGTATAGCAAAACTGTGGAATGTTTCTTCAAACAACATGATAAAAGTACTAATTCTTAATAGCTAAAACTCAATCTTAATCCCAATGCTTAGTGTTCGTGCCCATGATGAATAGACATCAGGAAGCAGTATCATCAACCACCACATTTCTTTGTGAGTAAAGCAGCGTTTATTCCCTAGCAGCACATACCACGCAGAGCAGGTACATACCTACACAGTCTCTGCTCAGCCTAATGAAATGGTAGGAGCCTACATCATGGTTTACAAAATAATGATAAAGTAAACCAAAACTATTTTCCCCTATAGTTTGTACTATCAATGATAAAAAGGACATAGTTGTTGAGCATCTCTTTTATAGGAGTATCACTTAAGGCATCACACTGATTCATCTTTTGTACTTTAATTTATCTAAATATAAGGTCAACTGTCTGCTCTGTTGGCAGAAATTCACAAACCAGTAATTGGATTTCTATACTATATGACATTGCTATTATGTAGTATCCATTATTGTCACTTGAAATGGAATTTTAAGGATAAGGTGCAAAGCATGATGTTTGTTAATAAGTTTCAGGTGATATTACAATCTTCTCTGTTTCATTGTGAGTTAAATCTCATTGTAGTTACAAAGACAGCAATTTTGAGTGATGCTTCAGGGCCATAATTTTTACTTGAAAGCATTGTTTTTCACTTGTTAAAGAAAAACTAATTTGGATTACTAGAGTTGTTACTTTGATTTGTTTGAAAATAACACAAAAGACTCAGTAAATTCTATGCTACCATTTGACAAAATTTCTTGACAGTGAACACACCAGTCTGAATTTTAAAATATTTGTTTTTATACTTTCAATTTTACCTCTTTTTTCCAATTACATATCATACTCAGAGACTCATTTATCTCAGTACATAAAAAATTATGTACATAAAAACCCTGTGTATATAAAACCCTTAGTACATAAAACCTTGTGTTTGCATTGGAATTTCCTTCTATATTCATTCTAATGTTATTTTTGAAGCTGTAATGTTTTCATTAAAATTACTACTTTACTATCTCTGTATTTCCACAATCCATTGATTTATTTGTATGAATTGAGGATATAAGAAATACAAAAGTAGCAAATAAGAGATCTTTTGCAAATATACATAGCACACACATTATATGGAATTATTATGGAGGAAGAAAATCTTGTGGACTGTGAGCTGAGTGTTCTTGCCTTCTATTATTGTATAACAAATTACCCCTGATAAAATAAAACAACCTCTTAATTTTATTTCACAATTTTGTGGGTCAGGAATCAAGAAGGGATGCCGGGCACAGTGGCTTATGTTTGTAATCCCAGCACTTTGGGAGGCCTAGGTGGGTGGATCACTTGAGGTCAGGAGTTTGAGACCAGTCTGGCCAA
This sequence comes from Homo sapiens, assembly GCF_000001405.40. Taxonomy (NCBI): domain Eukaryota; kingdom Metazoa; phylum Chordata; class Mammalia; order Primates; family Hominidae; genus Homo; species Homo sapiens. The sequence continues at coordinate 34,330,969 of NC_000008.11, read as the reverse complement.
CATGGAGAATCCCCATCTCCACTAAAAATACAAAAATTAGCCAGGTGTGGTGGCACCTGCCTGTAGTTCCAGCTACTTGGGAATCATTCTCCTGAGGCAGGAGAATCACTTGAACCAGGAGGCAGAGGTTGCAGTGAGCCAAGATGGCGCCACTGCACTCCAGTCTGGGCAACAGAGTGAGACTCCATCTCAAAAAATAAAATAAATAAAATGAAATCAAATAAAAGAAGGGTTGGAGAACTTTTCAGTTCTACACAATGTTGACAGAGGTACCTGACTATTCAGCTGGCAGAATATGAGCCTGATCTGGAAGGTCCAAGACAACTTGACACTCATGGCTGGGTTTTTGTTAAGGATAGCCGTCAGGCTGGGCTCAGCCAGAACTGTCTATCAGAGTTTATAAATGGCCTCTACAGACAGCAGTCTTAGGGGCATCATAGTGTCACATGGTGGATGGCTCAGGACTTCCAGAGAAAGCATTTTTAGACATAGGAAGTGGAAGCTTATGGTCTCTTAAGGCTTGGCACCAGAAGCTAGCTCCATATTCTATTGGTCAAAGAATTCGCTAAGGCCAGTCCTGGTTGAAGAGAAGAGGAATTAGAGTCCACTTCTCAATGAGAAGGGTAACAAAGAATTTGTGGTTGCCTTTAATTTACCACACCAAGGCTACGTGATGGAGACAATCCAGCTGTACATGAGCAATTTTCCATAATGACAATTATTACGAACACTGCAAGTCTCTCCTATAATGCTCATAGCTAATTGTGCATTTCATGTGTGTATGATGCACGTAGCTAAGTTATTTAAGTTCATTTTCTTCTAAAACAAAAAACTTTGTGTGGTTGGATAAAACACCAGGGACCAGGATACATTTCTTGCAGCACTTAGATAAAAATGTCTAACATGCCCCTAGGAGTATTGAATTTTTTCATGACACATTTGTGGTCTCTAACACTAAGAGAAATGGTATAGTAAGTCATTTACCTAGGTTGTCAACCTATGACATGTGAATTACAAACAATATAAAATTATCTTTATTTTGTATGATGTTCAGCAGTTTGCAAGGTACTTTTATTTATGTTATTGTATTTGCATTTTACAATAGCCTTGTGAAATTGGAGGACTGTAATTATCATTTTCTGTCAATAGATTGATGCTTGACAGTTCAGAAGGAATAAACAATTTCCACAAACTCACGGTAGAGGCAAAGTTAACTTTAATTAGTATTCATTTAGTATTAATTCATTCAAAATTTATTGAACATCAACTATGTGCTAGGCTTTATACAAAGGACTGCAAATATGGCACAAGAAAAAGGATAAGTTCCCTGCCCTCTGATAGCTTGTTGTCTAGGATGATGCTATTTTTCTTCAAATTTAATTCATGTTTTAATATCACAATTTTTGTCACATCTGGATACCACCTACACTACTAATGTAATATTTTTAATCAACTCACAAAGGTTCAATACTTAAATGAACTTAGTCTTACCTTATAGAATATTCCTTTTAAACAAGGTCTATTTATTATTTACTACAATAATGAACTCTTCAGATATGTGTGTGTGCATATATATATATATACTTACATATACACATACACATGCATACACACACACACACAAACACGTCCCACCACCACCACCAAAAAACAATCATTTCCTATAACACCAGAAGTATACATATAACACCCTGGAAAATGCCAGGCTGGTGGTTTTTATGCTTTTAATCTAGCATTATTACCTAGGTCTTAAATAGCACATATGTATAGAGGACAATGAAATGCTGCTCTATTTTGGAGATCTTTCAACTCTATGACCAAAAGCCAGCACACTAATACATTTGGAAATATGCTCCCCCAAATTTACTTTTCAGAACTGTTTCTGAACGGCTTTATTCTGAGCAGTTGCACAATATCTACCATTTATCTGAATGGTAAACTCAAGCTACTGCCTACCTATGGCTACTCTAAATGATAGAATCAACCAGTCACTGGCATCTTTATAGTCCCTGAAGTGAAAACCTATGAATATTCTTTTTGTTTTATTTACTCATAAGAGAGTGAGATTGCAAGGAAAAAAATACTGTTGCTGTTTGCTATTTTATATTTTTTGTTTAGCCTTTATCACTCACATTTATCTATCTACATGTGATACAGATGTTCATATTGCATCACATGTAATCAAAACACAGCTTATAATCATTTCCCTTAGGTACTATTGCACAGAAATAAATTTTACTTATGTATTTTATTCAAGGGTACTCTTACAACAGGGTATGTTGCATGCATATAGAATGTAAACAAAAATTTTGGCAACACTGATCTCTGAATCCTCTGACTCCTCCTCTCTCCCTCTTCCTCTTCCTCTTCTTCCTACTTTCTCTTCTTCAAGTGTATTTAACTTATATTGACACAGAACTGGATATATATTGCCTTTGCTACTAGCAGGGTTAACTTGAGCCAGTTTGAACTCCAGAGTCCTTTTTAATAATGATGCAGAATCCACTAGGTTTATGGGCTACTTGAAAAAATGTATTTAATTGCCTAGTCCTAACAAATGTTATTTCTTCCTTTCTTTTAGTTTGCATTAAATTTTTCTCTGAGTATATCTAATTAAATTAATTTACACTTAGGTGTGAGTTGCTGATTAGATTTAATAGGGAACCTATTTGAAATATATGTATGTCAACCTATAATGAATTTATCTCTAAATTAAAAGATTATTCCTTAAGGTATGTAATTTCAGGCATGGGGGAAAATGATGAGAAAATAATAGTTTTGCAAGGAAAGATTTGTATGTTTCATAAATCACATCTTATAGACCAGAATCTATTTACTTACATTTATTAGAGAATCAGAGCTGTCTTGGAATATTTATACTAGGGTTGCAGCAAACCCTGGACTACTCAGAAAAGACATAGGCATTGTTTGGGGTTCGTGAATCCGCAGGAATGAATAGGCAGAGGCTGCACCAACTTTGCCTGGCCTGCCCCACAGAGTCTTCTTGGAATTGAACGTTGGGTGAGTAGAGTGAGGAGTATCCAGCATCACCTTGCTCAATCAGAATGATGCTTTGCGTTAGCCTGGCTCCATCTTAGAGAATTTCTCAGTTGCTTATTTCTTTGTACTTAATCATTGGCTTATTTATGATTATTAAAGCCTAACATTTAAAAAAATGGGATGCTCTGGGTAGCAATCTCTTTGTGGTACTCTCTCATGAATTTATGGCAGGAAATTTAGATATGGGAATAACTCTTCACAACTACCTAATTCCAGGAACATCTTGCCTATTGTATCTAAATTTAGAGTTACCATTGAATGATCCGACTCAAATATGTTGCCTACATGTCTAGCTGAAGTGTTAATTACTAATTACCTTGATCAGAAGAACAGTTTCCCTGTAAATCCTTACGCTGCTTTGCTTATGACCATCTTATGTATTTTCTTTAAAGTATTTTATTAATATCATGTATTAATTTTTTGCCTGGTAGTATGTAAGCACACTGAGGTCAGGGAGTGTCTTTCTCATTATTATGTTTCCAAAATGTAAATGTTATAAATCCTTGAAATAAAGAATACCAAAACTAAATTAACTCCATGCTTTTACATAATGCAGTAGTTGATAGAGTTCCTTAAAAGTATATGTAGAGTGTCCCAGGCCAGCAGGAGCTAAGAGTGATCTAAGAACCCAAAGCAATGCTGAAACCACTTTTATGAAACTTATGACAGTGGGGAAAATCTAACATAACTGACTCAGTCTTACTTCTAACCTTGCAAGATAACTGTCTTTGCTCATTCTTAGTTAACTATTGGAGGAATTTCATTTGTAGTTTAAGTCTAAAACAAAGATGATAACGGTCCTATCCAAACACTAACCTTCTCCTTGCTCAGAGGCTAAAACCACCTTTGTAAAACAAAAGAAGGGCCACAAGGTTAGAATTGGGATAGGTAGGAGCCTGAATTCTGCTAAGCTGTAGGCATAGTGGAAACTCTAACCAGCCATTGTTTCTTTTGTTGACATAAACTCTTAAGAAGTCATTGTTTTATAACTTGCTTTTTTAAAACTACTTACTACTCAGGAGTCTCACAGCCAATAGTCACAAGATTAACTTCCTCAGTTGCCCCTATGGATAACATCACTACTGTAAATACTTTAAGACTAGTGTTTGAGACATTTTTCAGACCTTGCATTCTATACGGACCAACTAACATCTTGTAGTTGTAACCCCCAACCAGTAACTGACTCAGCACAATAAGACAGTGTCAACCCCCTATGATTTCATCCCAGACCCACCTCATCAGCAATCCTCATTCCCTAGTCCTCTGACTGCCAAGCTATCCTTGAAAACCCCTAGTCCCCAAATTCTTGGAGAGGCAGATTTGAGAATTATCTCCTGTCCTTCCACTTGGCTGGCCCTGTGATCATTAAACTCTTTCTTTACTGCAAACATTCCTGCTGTTCTCAGTGTATTAGCTTTTTCTGGGCAGAAGGCAAGAAGAACCCAATTGGGTGATTACAAAGCCTTCAAGTCCAGGAAAGGAAGGAGATAAAGATCCAACTTGTTCTAGAAAAGCTCACTGAAATCCAATTTGAGCAAAACACAAAACATAGTGCTGAATTCCATAGGCTAAATATTTGTGAATTTGGATCTACAGAGATTATAAGACAGAAAGATGTATCACTCCCTTAGATTCCTAAAGAAAAAGAAAACAAAGTGAGGGAGCAACTCTTTCTCTTGGGGAAGGCTCTGAAATAAATGTTTACTAATTGAAGAATGTCTTCTCCAATCCAACTGAAATATTGAAATGTGCCAAAATGTTTTCAAAACTCTTTCAAATTAGATAGTGTCAAAGAGTAGTCACTTTTTAGAAAACTGTTCCCTTTTTTAATAATATAAAAAAATGTTTTTTCTTCCTTTTTACCAAAAAATTCTAAATAAAGACTTTTTTTGTATGGTGACTCACTATTCCAACATGTACTATTCAACTATAAAACCTGGGAAACTGTCTAATACATATGTTGGAGGAAGGAATATTGTCACTATCCTGAATTCAAATAGTTTCTAACATCATTGAAGGGCTGGAAATGTTTACTGCCCCTTTCTGCTATGTTCTTTTTCTATCTCTCTAGGGAACATCTCTACTCATAACTTATAGAATGTTTGAGAATCTTCAAGGAGGAAAGAAGCTAAATAAATTTGCACTATTATTTCAGAGAAGAAGGGCTGGTTAAGCCAGCATTGAAGCATTCCATATGTATTTCATAACAAATTTGCAAGTCAAACAGAGTTGGCTTTATTTTTTATTTATTTATTTTACCTCAGCCTATTCTGATGCTCAGAAAACCCACTTAGGATTTAGAACTTCATCTGGTTCTTCTAGTTTCCTTCATTGTCATTTGTAATGAAGAGCTTTCAATAATTTTTCAGGAGGACAGCTTTGTTCATTGATTTGTGAAATAGAATGAAACCCAGATCAGTTTATGCATATCTACCAGAGTCTTCAGAGGCTAAAACAACTGCTTATGTCAGAAGAAAAGAACAATGATAGAGAGAAACAACTTTAACTCTCTTCTCTTTGACAATGGAAGGGGGAAATTTTTCTTAGTATCAGTATCAGTTTACACTGATACAAAAATTCACATTCATATTTACAATTCTGAAATATCTCCATATCCTGTATAAACCATCAGAGGCACTGATTACACTGTTTTGTTCTTGCTTTGATTTACTTTTCAGAATGAAAGATGGGTTTTATCATAACAAATGAAGAGATCCCACCTTTAAACATGATTAAAAATAAGAACTGAATTCAATATCCTCACAGGGGCTGATCAAGCACTTGTAACTTTCTTTCTGAGCAATGTTTTGTAGGCTGACTACATCCAGAGCTTGAAGCAGAGATCTAAGTAGACAAGCCTTTGAATTGAGAATGAGCACCCTCTGTGGCATTCAGAGGCGAGGCTGCTCACAGGGGTTCAGTGACCCTGGAAACTAATTCCTCAGCAGCCAACCTTTCAAAAGGAAGCCTGTAATTAAATAGGTAAAATGGCAATTGGTGGCTTGATTAAAGTGGGAGGATGGTGAGAATATTTCTACCTTTGGAAACACAGAAAATTTATCTAATGCTAATTGACCAAGTCTTTGCTCTAAAGCAAGGCACTTTATTCTGTATGTAGGATACTGAGATTTGGTGACTGAGAGCCAATTCTCTGCCACTCCTATTCCTAGGGGAAGTAGAGAGAGCAGAAAGTGTTTAAAGAGTTTTCTCAATGGATTTCTCGAAATGTATGAAACATCAGTAGAAACAGAAAAAAAGTAACTACCTCTCTTCCCATCTATATCTTCCTCCAAAGTTGACTGTAATCTTAGTTCAGCAATTCACAATGCTAGCTACACATTGAAACTATCTAAAAATGCTAGACAAATTGTAAAATTCTAGAACATAAGTTTTATCCCCAGAGTTCTGGTTTCATCTCCTTGAGGTGATCTGAGGCATCAGTGTGTGTGTATTTGCACACACTCCCACATGCATACACATCCATGAGATTCTCACTTTTTTTTTAAGTTTTCATGTTTTGCAGCCAAGTTTGAGATCCAGTGTGCTTAGTTCAAGCCTTCACTACAATTTTATCCACCTCTACATAAAAGCTAGCCTGCGCATCTTGGTTAACAGCACCACCTGTGAGTTCCTTGATGTCTATTGTGTGTCTCCCACATGTGTTAATAAGAAGCTTAGACATTCTTTTCAATAAATGAAAATGTTTTAATAAAATAAATAGCTCCCTAATAATTGATTTATTTTAGCAAATCAAAAAGTGCCTAGCCCATTTTGGACTTTCTAATGGGAATTCTTCCCCCCAGCCTAGCCCATTTTGGATTTTCTAATGGGAATTCTTACCCCTAAATACCATACTGTATATTTCTTACTCAAACCACTGATATTCATGTTTATTACTTGATTTTTTTCTAAAAGTTGAACAACACAAATGCTGCCAGCAGATCTATTGCTGATATGAATTCTCCGCATGCAGAAACCCATCTAATCATCACTCCAGCAACTCTAATGGCCTTTACTGACTTGGCAAAGTGATTTTATGCATTGCAGAGGGCAGGTAGACTAACAAACCAACACAAGTAATCCATGCAAATTCTCAGTTTCACTTGTATGAAGAGCCATCCTGTTAGCACTCTTATTTCTTCAGAGACAATGGGTTTAAGCCTCTTTCCATAAGAACAGCCCAAACTTCCAGAGTAGATGCCATGCTATATGAACTTTATTATAAAATAATGACAGGCTCTTTTCCGGTTAGCCGGCTCAAGAAGCCATGAGTAGCAAAGTCTCTCGCTACACACTGCAGGAGGCGGTGCGGGAAGTCCTGCACAGGAACCATCACAAACGCCACAAGTTCCTGGATACGGTGGAGTTGCAGATCAGCTTAAAGAATTATGACCCCCAGAAGGACAAGCGCTTCTCGGGCACAGTCAGACTTAAGTCCACTCCCCACCCCAAGTTCTCTGTGTGTGTCCTGGGGAGGCAGCAGCACTGCGACGAGGCCAAGGCCGTGGATATTCCCCACATGGATATCGAGGCACTGAAAAAACTCAACAGGAATAAGAAACTGATCAAGAAGCTGGCCAAGAAGTATGATGCAATTTTGGCCTCAGAGTCTCTGATCAAGCAGATCCCAGTCCTCGGCCCAGGCCTAAATAAGGCAGGAAAGTTCCCTTCCCTGCTCACACCCAAGGAAAACATGGTGGCCAAAGTGGACGAGGTGAAGTTTATGATAAAGTTCCAAATGAAGAAGGTGTTACCTCTGGCTGTGGCTGTTGGTCACGTGAAGATGACAGACTATGAGCTTGTGTATAACATTCACCTGGCTGTCAAATTCCTGGTGTCATTGCTCAAGAAAAACTGGCAGAATGTCCGGGCCTTATGTATCAAGAGGACCACGGACAAGCTCCAGCGCCTATAGTAAGGCACATTTGAATAAATTCTACTGTTACCAGTCAAAAAATAAAATAAAAAATAAAACAAGGCCGGGTGCAGTGGCTCACGCCTGTAATCCCAACACTTTTGGAGGCTGAGGCGGGTGGATCACGAGGTCAGGAGATCGAGACCATCCTGGCCAACATGGTGAAACCCCACCTCTACTAAAAATACAAAAATTAGCCAGGCGTGGTGGCGGGTGCCTGTAGGTAGTCCCAGCTATTCGGGAGGCTGAGGCAGGAGAATCACTTGAACCCAGGAGGCAGAGGTTGCAGTGAGCGGAGATTGCACCACCGCACTCCAGCCTGGCGATAGAGTGAGATTCCGTCTCAAAAAATAAATAAATTATAAGAATATAGTAATTATTATTATTATATTGGCCTTTGGTATTCGTGGTAGAATAAAACCACATGTGTCCCCTGTTCTAATTGAAAATGACTCATCCTCAGGCAATAATCAATGTAGACACAGAAGCAAAAACATTATATTCAAGGAAATGAGGTAACTTCAAAGCACAATAGATGGAAATTAAAAGCTGTTAGTCAAGGATAATAAAGGAGTTGGCAGGAGAGCTCATTCCCAAACATGTAAATCTGAAGATAAACAAGCAAGTTTTGTTCACAGAATCCCCCAATAGCTGAGAAACTGGGCAGTGGGAACACTGAAGGGGAAAGACAAGGTGGGACATCAAAAGGGTGAGTCTAGATTAATAGACAACAAGAAAACAGTTAAAAGCCCAGCTTCCAACACTACTTGGAGCAGAAACGCAACACCCTGCACTATCCTCATAGGAGAAAGGGAGTCAATTTTCTGGAAAAGATAATAAACCAGAGAGACTTGGAGTTATAGGCAGAAAATCATTAAGGTGAAGTGCTGTTCTGAAGGTAGAATGATTAAGTTAAAGTCTGCCTATTTGATGATTATTAGGCCTCCAGCTTTCTTTCCTCAATCAACCACAGAAGAGACACAATCTGGTGTAAACTTACCACACTCTCAGGCAGGAGACTGGAAAATTTATCTCAAGACAAGCTAAATCACTAAGTCTTATCAGACCCAAGAATGCTGCATCTAAGCCAACAGTTGCGAAAGCTTATCAACAGATCATTTTATACTACAGAACTACAGTAAGGCTGACTAATTGAGACAAAGGTTTCTTAGATAACTGAGGGTACACTAATGAATAAAATAGAAAAGTTAGTTGTAGGTATATCTGAAGCAGTTAGATACCCCCAACCCCCTTCACCACTATAGTAAGTAGAATCACAAATGACCCCCAGGATTCCCATCCCTAGCACACATACTCTGTATAGTCCCTTCCCTCAAGTTTGGGGGAAATGTGTGAATATAATGGTATATCACTCCCTTAATTAAGTACAGCATTAGGTCCTTGTTGCATTGCTATAAAGAAATACCTGAGACTGGGTAATTTATAAAGAAAAGAGGTTTTATTAGCTCATCATTCTGTAGCATGTACAAGCATGGTGCTGGCATCTGCTCAGCTCCTGAGGAGGCTTTTACTCATGATGGAAGGTGAATCAGGAGCAGGCACGTCACATGGTGAGAGCAGCAGCAGGAGAGAGTGGGGAAGGTTCCACACACTTTAAACAATCAGATCTTGTGAGAACTCACTCATTGTGATCCCAGGGATCACAGTGGGGTCATGGATATTCCCCCATGACCCAAACACCTCACACCAGGTCCCACTTCCAACACTGGGGATTAAATATCAACATGAGGTTTGGGCAGAAGCAAATACCCAAACTATATCAGTCACTTTGTGCAGTAAAAATGATGGGAGGCTCCCTCCTGTGACTACATTATATTTTTTACAACTCTCTCATAGTGGGCTAGAGAGAAATTCCCCTGCTGGCTTTGAAGAAGTAGCTGTTATGTTGTGAGAAGGCCTTGTGGTTAGGATCAGCCAACAACCAGCAAGGAAATGGAACCACAGCCTATAACCACAAGGCATTTAATTCCACCAACAACGAATGAGCCTGGAAGAAGATCCCAAGCTCCCAGGAAGACAGCCAGAGGATACCTTGATTTTGGCCTTCTGAGAAGCTGAATGGAAGACTATTGTGCCAATTATGCCAAGCCCAGACTTCTGACCTACAGAACTGTGAGATAATGAATAGGTGGACGTTAAACTGCTATCACTGTGAAGCGCATTCACTGGGCGCAGGTTACCGACTTGTCTGAGTCAGGTGAGACATAACACCCACACACAAAGTTACATGAAGCAGGTTTATTAATTATACACAGGCAGCAAGGGACAATAGAAGCCTAGGACTCATGTTTATCCAGGCTTCTAAATGAATGCCATGCCCCTAAAACTCAGGAAAGCTACCTAGGGTGGATGGACTCTCATCTCTATGTGCCTCTCTTGCAGCCAGCCCACCTTGGGCTTTGTACCTCAGGGTCACAAGACTGGCCGGGCTGACCCACTCAAGGATGTCCTGTTTCTAGGGGGGAACTGGAACAGAGTCTAGGCTGATCCTGCTAGCTCCTCCTTACATCAAGATGTTCCATTCCCAGTACATTCCACAGTTACATTGAGAACTACAAGTGAGAAAGACAGAGAAGAGTTGGGTCTCTCCAAGGCTACCCAGAAAACTATTTCCCAATGATTGTTTTAATTTGTTACTCAGCCATAAAAAACTAACTATACACCAACCAAAGGAAGATCTTTAAGAGAGGCTGAGATAGTTACAGGGACCTGTATTTGGAGGCACCAAGATCAACACAGCGTGGGTGCTGTCTATAGCAGATTGGGTGTATTGTCAGGAACCTGGCAATAAAAAATGGCACACTCAAACTAGATAATTAAGAAGACTTTAATAAAATGGCCCATTAAAATGCATGAACATTGGCCGGGCACAGTGGCTCACGCTTGTAATCCCAGCACTTTGGGAGGCTGGGGCAGGCAGATAACGAGGTCAGGAGATCAAGACCATCCTGGGTAACATGGTGAAACCCCGTCTCTACTAAAAAAAAAAACACAAAAAATTAGCCAGTCGTGGTGGTGGGTGCCTGTAGTCCCAGCTACTCGGGAGGCTGAGGCAGGAGAATGGCGTGAACCCGGGAGGCGGAAATTGTAGTGAGCCGAGATCGCACCACTGCACTCCAGCCTGGGGGACAGAGAGAGACTCCATCTCAAAAATAAAAAAAATTAAAAATTAAAAAAATTTTAAAAAATGCATGAACATTAAGGAAATAAATAAAGGATAGGGTAGTATTCCAGGATCAGCAATGGCAGGAGCCATTACTACTTCTAGGACTGAAGGGGCAAAGGATGTGGAGTAGATACTAGAACTCAGAGAGTAGCTGTGCAGAAAAAGCTATTATTTGGCAGGAGCTGTGTACTTCAGCAGAGGGTTGCAGCCAACTTAAGATAAAACTATCATCAAAAAAATCTGAGCAACATAAATGCAGATGTCTTCTCCCTTCCTCTAATCTCCTGATAGTGTCTACACAGAGTGAGCCAAACAAAAAATAGAAGAGATGTTCATTGATATATCTCATTGGAAGCATGAATGAAATTGCATTCAATTAATATATTTATTTTAGGAAAAATATTTATTTTCCTCCTTTCTTTGCCAAACAACCCTCACATTTGAGCTGGGCACATAGCTACTTGGAACAAAGTCTGTATTAATAGCCTTCTTTGCAGGTGAGAGAGCTTCTCAGGGCAATTGTTGGGAAGGAAAAACATGGAATGGAATACGAAGAGACAGAACTTATTTACACAGATAATGATGTGTGCCCGTTAGTGTCTTTCTCCCTTTTCCAGGTGACAAATGTCTTTTATATAAGGTCTCAACAGCAGAGTGATACAGATTTGAACTAAGCCTACTATTGTATTTTAAATAAATTAGTAGGAGTAAAGGGAAGAAATAAATAATTAATGAACATAAGCCATAGCTGTAAAGGTCCTCATTTCCCGAGCCAGTCACAAGGTCTAAGTTAATAGTCATAGCTACTTTTTCTCACTACCCATTTTATCCTATCTAGGCCAGACGCTTGCCGAGAGTAAAGAGAACATTACCAGAAATTAAGCACAGAGCTCACTCGTCTGCAAAGAAGGCTATTAATACAGACTTTATTCCAAGTAGCCACGTGCCCAGCTCAAATTTGAGGGTTGTGTGGCTGAGGAAGAGGGAAAATAAGTATCTTTCTTAAAACAAATATATTAATTGAATGCAATTTCATTTGTGCTCCCAATGAGATGTTGGTATATTATTTTTTTATTTTGTTACTATATTATGTTTGTTTTGAATTGAATAAAAATAATATTTTTAAAAGGATGAATGTCTAAGATTAACTAAGTAAACTGTCAAAAAAAGGAAAAAAAAAGTCAAGTCATCTTATCAGATATCAGAACATACTATAAATCCATTAAAATAGAATTATAGTATTCATAGTGGTATAGAGAAGTATACTAGCAGAACAGAACAAAATTCAAAAGTAGATCTTAGTATATTTTAAAATGTAATGTACAGTAATGGTGATAGTTTAAATTTAGAGTCTTAGTGGTGTATTATTTAATAAATGGTACTTGTACATTGCATAGAAAATGTATTTGGATTTTTATTTTACATCACATATAAAAATAAGTTCCAGAAAGGATTCTGATATTATAAACAAACTAAAATATCATGAGCAATTGGAAAGCTATATTACCAATATAATTGCATAAGAGACCTCCTTAATGAAGACCAGAAACCTAGTAGCTCGGTAAGAAAGGAAAGATAGGGTGGACAACATAAAGTAGAAAAAAAATGCAAGATACATCAAAAACTAGGTCAGTAGAAGATTAATAGACTGAGAAAATGTTTAAGTAGCACAGATAACACAGGCTTAGTCTCCTTAATAAAAAGCACTTACACATTGATAATGAAAAGACAACCAATTCAAAGAATGATAGGTAAGCAGTATGAATAATTCACCAAAAAGCAAAACTAAGTGGCCAATAAACATATGGAAAGTGGTTTAATATAGCTGATGAGCAAGGAATCATGAGTCAAAGTAACAGTGAATTATATTATACTCTATATACCCAAGCTTAGCAACAGACTGGAGATGGAACATGTTACTAGCATGGAGACGTAATGTGGTAGTTAAGAGTGTGGATATGAGCAGAGGAGAGAGGATGAGGGGTGTACAATTTGATTGCACTTATATATTCAATGGAAATGTGTGTGTGTGTGTGTGTTTTAAAGAACTTACATAATATTTTTAAGCTAGTACATCCATTCTACTCAAGAAATCTCTTCTAGGGATTACATTTGCAAAGGTACACAAAGATGCTCATTGTAGCATTGTTTATAATTCCAAAAATGATATAAACCTTAAAATAAACCATGAAGGTAGTGGTTTAATAAATTATAGCATATTTCCACTATAAGACACCATAGAGTAAAGAATAAGGTAGAGATACACTTACTGAGGGGGAATATTGTTCGATAAGTGCAAGTTACTAAATAATACAAATGATATTAGGTTGGTGCAAAAGTAATTGTGGTTTTTGCATTAAAAGTAACAGCAAAAAAACGCAATTACTTTTGCACCAACCTCATATAATGCCATTGCAGGTTTTTTATATATATATGTATATATATGAATACTTATATGTCTGGAATAAATAATGAAAACTCTATTAGGATGCATGCTAAACTCTTAATAGTGTTACTTTTGGAGGGGAGTAGAATTCAGGAATTAGGAGCTATAACTATATATATTTACATGTATATAGTTACAGAAAAAACTATATACATAACTATATGTGTGTATTTGAGCTGTTTGAGCATTTCATAAGGATAATGAATTCATGTTATATTATCTGCATATTAAAATAATACCAATAATCACATCAGAAATTATATATTGAGTTCTCTAAAAGCACAAGATACTTCATATTTTTGCTAAGCAGAATAATGCCTCCACCCCTGGACAAAAAGACAAAGGATGTCCACATTTGAATGGCTAGAATCTGAATATGCCATGCCCTATGCATGGCAAAGGGGAATTAGGTTGCATTAAAGGAGAACTGGCTGACTTTAAAACAGGAAGATGTTTATGGAATATCTGGGTAGACCCAATGTAATCTCAAGGGTGCTTAAAAGCAAAAGCAGAAGGCAAAAGAAGAGTCAATGTCAAAGCGATAAGATGTGAGAGAGACTCAACAGGCCATTGCTGGCTTTGAAGATGGAGGGAATGTGGAAATTGTCCAAAAGCTGGAAAAGTGAGGAAACAGATTCTTCCCTGAAGCCTCCAGAAGAAATGCAGTTCTGCTGAAATCTTGATTTTAGCCAGCAAGGTCCATTTTGGAGTTCTGAACTATAGAACTGTGAGGTAATCAATTTGTGTTGTTTTAAACCACTAAGCTTGTGGTAATTTGTTAAAGCACCAACAGGAAACTTAGGCAATATGCATCACCTCATTTAAAATTTACAAGGACCCTGGGAGATATACACAACTGTGGGCCCCCATTTAAACAAGAAAAAACCATTGTTCAGAGGGTTTATTTAGGGTGACACAGCTGGTAAGTGCTGTGGACAGGACTTGAGTTAGTTCCAGAGGAATCTAGAGCCTCTCCTGGCTGCCATTTTGTATTTTCTGTCCTCTGACCTATAACTCCAGTGCTCCTGGCTCTGTACTCAGCCACCAGCAGATGTTTACCATCATATAAGTCAGTAAGAATTCAAGTTTGAGGGGTAAGACAAATCTCCATTTAAACCCACTTACTAGCTGTGTGGTTAGTTTAAAACAAACTACTCAATTTAAGCTTGTTTCCTCATCTATAAAAGAAGCAAAATACTTTTTACCTTGTGGGCTGAGGAAAAGCATTCAGTGAAATAATCTATGAAAACTGTCCAACAAAAAGCTTTGTATAGAATTTTGTTTTAAATAAATGATATTTATTGTTGGTGAGGACTATTACTTTGTTATAATGACTCTGGGAAGCTGTTTTTCTTCTAGATGAGGTTTTAGGTTTTGTTCATACCTTTCTCATATCTGTCAGCTCCTGATTCAGAGACGGTGGTTAGTGCCTGTGGCACAGAACTATAACTACAAACTAGGGAACTATTAACTGAGTACAAGTATAGAAGAAGTGGCTTTTAGTGGTGTGGGCACCAGTGATCTATAAGATGAATCCGGTGGCAAAAATGTACTGTTAATAATGTATATTTCTCCCATGGGATGACATCACAGAGGAACAAAAGAAAAAAAAAAACACTCAGAAAATGTCCTTAAAATTTAAACTTCGTTAGTATGCTATGAGACTCTAGAAAAGAGGACATTTCTATTTCAGTCGAAATTATGTTGGCCTTCTGTTTTCTACCCATGGGGTCCCAGACAGAGTTTTCTCAGAATATCATTTGTCTTCCGCTCAATGAACATATTCTGTTGGTCTAGGTACTTCATGAACTTCTTCAAATATTCCTTTGAAACATTCCTTTCAGGCTCTAAGTTCTTCACCACTTTGAGTTTGACTTTTTAAACAATTGCCCTTAGTGATGATTTATGAACAATTATTTACAAGGATAATTCCTGATGATTCTCTATAGAAGATCACCTTTGCTCTTTTCAAAGGTCCCTCTGGTTCTGAGTTGTCCAGTATCTGGTACTATGGCTGACATATACACTCAACCTGGATCCATTGAATGAATGAATGAATGAATGAATGAATGAGTGAGTGAATTATCAGATGAACCGTGAGGCTGAGGCAACAGGTGTGGTCACTAACAACTCATTCATGGGAATAGATCTTCCCCTGCTTCTCATTTGAAAGGAAAGTAAATTAGAGTGAGTGCACATTCCCAAGGGACCTCAAGTTACTGGTTCAAATGTCTTCAGACCATCTCGACTATTTGCGTATGTGCCCCTTTGGAAAACTGAGGAAGGAAATAAAAAGGCTTCTATGAGTTTTGTTTTGTTTCACAAAACTCAGAGGTAATAAAGCATTTACATTGCTAATGGATTTTCCAAAGTTTGTTGACATCCAAGTGGTTTGGGAGAAGAGATTTTGTGTGGGGGAAATACTATGATGCCTTAGCCAGGGCAACTATATCTTTCTCTATGAAGTTTCTGTACTTGTAGTGCCCTTCATTCAGGTGACCTTTGTCCTGCTTGTTGTTGCAGATTATTTGAACTATCTGCAGATTCAGTGAAACCAGCAGGATAATTGCACAGAACGGAGAATTTACAGCAATAGTAACTTATTCAGATGATTATTGTCAACCATGACACAGGGCTTTCTTAATCACATCTATGATTACTATACTTTCTAATGATACTGTATCATTTTTTTGCTAATACTCTAAAGTGCTTCCTACATGTTACAAAGCTATTAAAACACAAATCTACAGGGCAATTGATAAAATATTTTCATTGTTCAAGCTGCATGTATTCACATTATAATATCTGCTATACAAAATGTATAAATGATCACAGAATTATAGCTTTGAAGAGGATCTCCAAAAAAGTAATTTTATCCAGTCCACTGCCTTAAATAGTTACATATTCAAACCATCAAAGACATATGGTTGTAATTCTCACTTAAAAAATCATAAGGCATGGACTCTGCATAACACCTTAAATGGACTGTTTTGGCACTTGATCACCATTTTGTCAAGAACTTTTGCTATAAGCTGAGTAAGTAAGAGCAAGTTATACATATGTCTAAGAATATATCTATTTCTTTGTTGGAACTGAAAAAAATATTTCATGCCTCCTTTATCACACCGAAGTCACATAATAGATTTTGCTTTTTGAGATTGAATACTGAAACTTCCCAACTCTGTTAACACTTTTTACAATGAATATATTAATTGACTTTAATCCCCTTGGACATTCTTTGGTCCCTAACTACAAACTGTATTATTTGACCTTAAGAGAAATGGCAACACATAGGATATAAGGAGACAAGACATAGAAATGAGGATCTCTACCCACATCTTCAGTGTTAGTTACCTGATTCATAAACACTAACAAAACATACTGAACTGTTTAAACTCAAATTCAGCTCATATGCAAAGTCTTCAACTAGAAGGCGAGCTCTTAATTAACAGAATAATTATTAACTTTAATTTTGTTGTTGTTGTTGAACTGAAAGCTCATTGACAGAATCACATTTCACAAAGAAACCTGAAAAAGCCTAAGGCATTTAGGTAACCTAGTGAGAAACAAATCCATGAACTACAAAAATAGGAGAAAATAGAGTATAATGGGAACATCTGGGCAAACCTCATGGAGAACTGGAATGTCTGTCATTACTGTCCAAAACCCAACCATCACGCT
Organism: Homo sapiens; assembly: GCF_000001405.40. Taxonomy (NCBI): domain Eukaryota; kingdom Metazoa; phylum Chordata; class Mammalia; order Primates; family Hominidae; genus Homo; species Homo sapiens. The sequence goes on along the minus strand of NC_000008.11, from coordinate 34,313,680 downwards.
AAGGACTGAGAATCCCTCTGTTTTTCATCTTGCCCATTCAAATGCTGGTTTTCATTACTTTCATTCCAGAGGTTCTCCTTACTTGTGACTCAGGGCCTCCTTATTTCTGCTTCTCTCTTCTAATTTTCTCTCCACATCTCCAATGTTACTAAGACTGCTTTTAACCCTTTGTACCATTTTTCTCTGTCTGTTACTTGTATTCAAAATTCTGTAAAAGAAAAAAGAGAGACCGAATTGAATCAAGTAGTCACTATTCAGTACTATTGGTTGAAATTATCTGGCCACATTGTCTCATAGATAACTGATTGAACTTTTCAGTATACCCTAGATCTCCTCATCCAAAAAACTGGGGTTAGAAATAACAGCATCACATGACTGAGTATGACACCCCATGTGCAAGCAAATGACCATGACCACTTATCTCAAGTGAGGTCATCCGTGTGAAAAGCACATTATGCAATCAAGTGCCTGGTGAAACAAAACTAAACTAAACAAAAAAACCTCCTCACTAACTTGAAGAAAACCTTCTAACAATAGAGATTGAGAATTATTGCTTACACAGTCCTGCCTGATGTACCACGGGGAATGCAATGCACTGGTAAGCACTATTGCATATTGTAAGGATATTTACCAAAGATAGTCATTTAGTTAATAGCCTCAGGGATGCACTGTGAACAAAACATCTTGCTGAGTCCTGCATTAAGGTGCTGGTAAGGAATGGTGATGTTAGAAAATAAGGACTAAATCATAATATTGTACCCATCACCAAAGAAGCTTATTATATAGTAAGACAGACACAAAAATCATGCAAATATAAATAATGTAAGGAAATGAATAATATTGGGAAAGGAAAGAAGTACAGAATCTCTCTGGCAACTTCCAGTGCTTCCTTTGTGCTAATATTCCAATTGGAACAGTGCAGGGGTAAATGTCAATCAACAATAGAAAGCCATTCCAAGCTCCAAAGACCAAAACCTTCCTGATGCTAAGGCCTGAAGAATGAAGGGATGAACCTGCTGAAGAATGGACTAAAGAGAGATAAGTGGGACTGGCCTTCAGTCATCTCCTGGGGTGTTACTTGTTGGTAAAGTGTCCTCTTGGATCTGGAAACAGAAGAATGGGCGATGTGGGGAGACGGTTTTTAAACCACATTTAATTCCTTACCCTTTCAAGCTGTGGAAATTTTCAGTAGTTGCTATTCATTCATTTATTCATTTACTGAAGCAACTTTTACTGCAGGTCCAATACATGTTGGGGTATATATGGTGAATCATATATAATTCATGCCCTAACAGACACAGAAAGCGATAATTGTGTCTTATTTTTATATTTGTACCTATATAGCTAAATAATTAAAATTTTCATTCAAAATGCTACAGAGACATAAGAGGAGGAAACTAAATAGGCTTGATAGAGATGTCAGTGAAGTTAAGAAAGTTCTCTAGATGAGAGGCAGTAGAGAGATTATTGTAGGAAACATACTGCAAAAATGCACCCTTGTGAAATGAAATGCTTGTTTCAAGATTATTGAGTTTTTCAACGGGATCAGAGGGTCACGTTTGCATGTGATGTGGCGAAGGCACAGCTAGAGACTGGGCACAGTGGCTCACGCCTGTAACACCAGCACTTTGGAAGGCCAAGGTGGGCAGATCACCTGAGGTCAGGAGTCCAAGACCAGCTTGGCCAACCATGGCCAACATGGTGAAATCCTGTCTCTACTAAAAATACAAAAAATAGCTGGGTGCAATGGTGTGTGCCTGTAACCCCAGCTACTCGGGAGGCTGAGGCAGGAGAATAACTTGAACCCGGGAGGTGGAGGTTGCCGTGAGCTGAGATCATGCCACTGCACCTCGGTCTGGGCAACAAATGTGGATCAATAATCTCCACATGAAGCTATAAAAAAGCTCTTATAGTCAAATTGAGATTATATTGACATCAAATTATTTCTTGTAATTGTGTTTTTCAATAAGAATACTATTATTTTTATAAAAATAGATTCTTAATTCAGTATTTTTTATTACAATCAAGCTAAACTACTATATGGAATTTCTTGGTAGTAACTCTTTTGAAAAAAGTCAGATGTCATGAAAATGTCAGCCTTGTCATTGACTAGGTAACATTAAGCAAGTTACTTAACTTTTCTAAGCCTGTTTCATGTACAGAGAGAGGATGTTAAGACTACATGAGGCTGTTGTGAAGATCTAATTGGTAATGCCTGTGACTACCTGTCATATAGCGAATACTCAATGAATATAGCTATAATCAAGTTTCTAAGATAGTTGTTTTCAAATATAACTATATAACTATATAATTGTAATTATATAACTATAATAAATGTGACTTAGCCATGGAAGTTTCTTTAAGTGTTAGAAGCCCCATATATAAATGAATTAACTGAGATATAAAATTTAGGTGCCTAGAACCTGCGTGGTCTTGCTTTCTCCCAATCCCACCTTCGACCCAGGTAACCTCTAAAGGGCTCAGCCAATCAAACCTTCCTTCCAAATAAATTATTGAATAAACAAACAAACTGATCTTTATCCAGAGTTCGTTTCTCTAGTGTTTGTTTTCCTTTGTATCAGTTCTAGGCATCAGCATTGGAAGCATTGTTCTTTCTTTAATAGTGCATAATGGGTCACTTAAATCCCATGATGTGTTTCAATCTCTCCTACTTTATGTTCCCTAAGTTAGTAATTGTGATAAAGTATCATTCAAAAATGTTTAACTGCATTTAAATGCACAATACCTTCAAGCAAATTAGAAAAACTTTCCCCTGTGTGTGGACTTCTGGGTGAAAGAGGACCCTTGAGAATGTGGCTTGATAAGTCAATGGCATTGTTATAAAAATTAGAAAAAGTCAGCCCTTTCTCTGAGCAAATTCAGACCTAAGCTATGTGTAGGCTGAGCAATGAGTAGATTTAAACCCTCATCTGGCTCTTATTTATATATTATTATTTTCAGTTCAAACTCTAATTCATCAAGAGATGTTTTAGAAACAAAAATGGGTTGAAATTATTCTTGGTCCTGTTGAAAGTCTCGCTTTTAAGAGAATTCTAAGCATAGGCAATATTTTAAAGCTATCTTTCTGTCACTTGATGACTATAGTAGAGACTTTCTTATGCATCAGTTTTTTTTCTTCTAAAATATTCTGAGTAGTATCACTTCCAATTCCGAACAATGCCTTGGTCCAGAGGCTAAAGCAATCAGGCAGGAAGAGAGAAATACATTTCCTGAAGCTAACTCGGCTTCACAGAAATAAGCTTTAAAGTTGTTGAGCATTGCTCTCTTTAGGCAAACCTATAGGCAAGATGTTCCATTACTGTAGGTATAAACAGATGACAAAATTAGTCAAAAAAAAGGTTACTCTATGTATAACATATGAATATGGAACTTTTGATAGTGGAAAGCTTTAAAATTATATTCTCCAGAGGTGTGTGAGCCTGAGGCATTGAAATCAGGAAAGGCAGCTTACAGTATTTAACTGGACTCACTAAGCATGATCAAGGCCTAGGTTTAAAACACAGGTTATGCCAAGATTAGCCATTTGAATGCAAATTGCTTGTGCCTCAGTGTTTTCCGGATGAAGATAATATTATCTTCAAACTATTGTTAATGGAAATAACTAAGATACCCTATATGACAGTGCCTACAGCTGAAGAAATATTACTTCTTTTAAAATAATGGATTACTTCTGGAACACATGCTCTGAAACAGGGCTGTCAAATAGAAATTTCCACAGTGATGGGAATAGTCTATGTTTGTGCTTTCCAATATGGTAGCCCTTAGCTGCACGTGGCTGTTGAGCATATGAAAAGTGTTTAATGTGACTAAGAAACTGAATTTTTTAATTGCTTATTTTTAATTAATTTAGGGTTTTTTGTTGTTGTTTCCGCTTTTGTTTTGAGACTTATCTCACTGTATCACCAGGCTGGAGTGCAGTGGCTCAATCTCAGCTCACTGCAACCTCCGACTCCCTCGTTCAACCGATTCTCCTGCCTCAGCCTCTGGAGTAGCTGAGATTACAGGCATGTGCCACCATGCCCAGCTAATTTTTGTATTTTTAGTAGAGACGGGGTTTCACTATGTTGGCCAGGATGGTCTCGATCTCCTGACCTTAATTTAGTTTTTTAAAAAACCACTTTAAGGAGGCATGATTGACTTACAAAAGCTGCACGTATGTAATGTATGCATCTCATTGAATTTGGGGAAAAATATACCCCTTGAAACCATTATCGAGGCCATAAACATATTATCTCCCAATGTTTCCTCCCATCCCCTTTATTATTATTATTATTGGTTTTATTTTTGGTAAGAAAACAACATAAAATCTACTCTCTCAGCAATTTTCAGTATACAATATAGGGTATTAGCTATAGTCAGTGTGCTGTGAAATAGAAATCCAGTTATTATTTATCTTGTATAACTGAAACTTTGTACCTTTTACCCATCACCTCTCCATTTTTCCCTCCTCCCAGCCAGCCCCTGGCAACCACCACTTTACTCTCTACTTCTATCAGTTTGACTATGTTAGATTCCACATGCGAGTGAAAACATGCAAAATTTGTGTTCCTGTGTCTGGTTTATTTCACTTAATGAACATAATGTCCTCCAGGTCCACCCATGTTGTCACAAATACCAGAATTTCCTTTTGAAAGGCTGAATAATATTTCATTGTATGTATGTAGCACATTTTCTTTATCCATTTATTCACTGATGGGTATTTAAGTTGTTCCCATATCCTGGCTATTGTGAATAATGCCACTGTGAACATAGGAGTGCAGTTATCTCTTAAAGATCCTGATTTCATTTCCTTTGGATATATACCCAGAAATGGAATTGCTCAATCGTATAGTAGTTCTATTTTTATTTTTTAGAAACCTCCATACTGTTTTTGAGACTGGCTACATGATTTTACATTCCCAAAAACAAAGTGGAAGGATTTCTTTTTCTCCACATTCTTGCCAACACATATGTTTTAGTTCATTTTGTGCTGCTACAACAGCATACCTGAGACTGGGTAGTTTATAAGGAACAGAGATTTATTGCTTACAGTTCTGGGGTCTGGGTAGTCCAAGGTCGAGGGACCTATGTCTATCAAGACCTTCTTGCTGCCTCATTCCATGAAGGAAGGTGAAAAAGCAAGAGAACACTGCCATGAGAGCAAAAGGGAAGGGAGCCAAACTCATCCTTTATAAGGATGCCTCTCCCGTGATAACTAACCTATATCTATGATAACAGCATTAATCCATTTATGAGGGCAGGGCCCACCTCTTAAAGATTCCACCTCTCAACACTGTTGCATTGGGGATTAAGTTTCCAACACATGAGCTTTGGGGGACATATTCAAACAATAGCAACTTCTTATCTTTTTTTAATGACATACATTCTAACTGATGTGAAGTGATATCTCATTGTGGTTTAAATTTCTCTGATGACTAATGATATTGAATTTTTTTATATGCCTGTTGGCCACTTATATGCCTTCTTTGGAGAAATGTCTATTCAAGTCCTTTGCCCATTTTTCTATTTGGGTTATGTGGTTTTCTATTACTGAGTTTTAAGAGTTCCTAATGTTTAGATGGCAATCCCTTATCAGATGTATGTTTTGCAAATATTTTCTCCCATCCTTCAGGTTTATTCCTTTGATTGTTTCTTTTGCTATACAGAATCCTTTAAGTTGAATGTAGTCCCACTTGTCTATTTTTTGCCTTTATTGCATGTGCTTTTGGTGTCATAGCCAAGAAATCATTGCAAAGACCAATGTCAAGAAATCATGTTTTCTTCTAGGATTTTTACAGTTTCATATGTTGTGCTTATGTCTTTAATCCATTTTGCATTGATTTTTCTTGTGTGATTAAAGAGTAGGATATAATTTCATCTTTGTTTTTGTTTTTGCATGTGGGTATCCAGTTTTCCCAACACCATTTGTTGAAGGGATTATCTTTTCTCCATTGTGTATTCTTGGTGCTCTGGTCAAAGATAAGTTAGATCTTACATGCATGGGTTTATATCTCAGCTCTCTATTCTGTTCTATTTGACTATATGTCTACTTTTATGCCAGTTCAATACTGTTTTGATTAGTATAAGTTTGGATTATAATTTGAAATAAGGAGTTACATTCCTCCAACTTTTTTCTTCTTTCTCAAGAACACTTTGACTAGTTAGAGTCTTTTGTGATTTTATGTGAATTTTGTGACTGTTTTTCTATTTCTATAAAAACTGCCACTGGAATTTTGATAAGGATTGCATTGAATCTGTAGAGTGCTTAGAATGGTATAGGCATTTTAACAATATTAATTCTTCCAATCCATGAATATGTGATTAATTAATTAACATTTAAATTCAAAGAGACGTGTAGTTAGAGGCTACCATATAGTATGGCAAAGCACTAGAATAGAATTTGGCTCCAATAGGGCAGCCTCATAGATAAGTCTATAGATAAATCTTTTTTCAACAATAACTTTTTAAGAAAGACCCTTTTTTTTCTGCAAACATCTTTATGGCAGGAGGTTGTTAAAATAAAATTAATGGGCTTCATGAACATCTCACATTCTGTGATAATCACATTAAGTTTGAAGTGTATTTTTCTAGGGAGAAAATTCATACATACCTTTGGACTTTGAAAGAGAACCATGTGTCACAAAATTAAAAATATATCAATAAATAAATAGAAGGAATATACCTAAGTTACTTACACCTGCTCTAATTTTAAAATGTACACATTGTTGTTCAGAAGACGAAGCCAAACTATCAAATTGGTTCATGTAATTAAAACTGATTATTTTATGAACACTAAAATGTAAGCAGAGTTTTCAGTAAAAATATGTTAAATATGAAGTTCAAAGCAATGTTCAATTACTCTATTTATATCAAAAGCAGTAAACAAATTTTAGCATACTTAATTACACATTAATTACACATTTGTATTAGTTGTCTTCAAAATATTAAAATAGTACAGAATAGCACAATAACTAAAAGTGCCATATTCTCTCACTTCCTGCCCTGCTTCTACTCTTGTTCCCTATGAATAACTATGTTGATTATTTGCATAATGTCTCTCCAAACATTTCTTCATGTGTCCGTACGTGTGTTGTGTGTGTACGTGCATGTGTGTACAGAAATTGACTTCCATACTATTTGTGATGGGCTGAATAATGACTCCCAAAGATGTTCACATCCTAATCCCTGGGCCCTGTGAGCATGTTACATGTAAAAAGATCTTTGTAGATGTGATTTAACTAAGGATCTTAAGATGGAGAGATTATTTTAGATGATTAGAGTGGCCTCAATGTAATCACAGGGTCCTTAGAAGAAGAAGGCAAGCAGATCAGAGATAGTAGTAGGAAACATGATGATGGAATCAAAAGGTTGGAGTAATTCAATGGTGGATCACAAACCAAGGAATGCAGGCAGCCTCCAGAAACTAAAACAAGCAAGAAGACTTATTCATCCCCGAAGCCTCCAGAAGGAATACAGCCCTACTGACACCTTAATTTTATATTTATGATATCCAGAGTAAGAAAATAAATGTTTGTTGCTTTTGAGCCAGTAAATTTCTGGTAATTTGTTACAGTAGCAATAGGAAACCGGTATACTATTCTATAACTTTTTTTTAAGTGTAACCTGTGCATCCTTCCATGATAGTACATTAGTACATGTGGTGCTACTCTATTCTTTTTAGAAGTTGCCTAGAACATCAGTGTGACTACCTTTTATATTATGATACAAGAAATTCCAGTGCACATCCCAAGACATATGTTATTGAGCATTTGTATACATGGTTTAGTGAGATGTATGACTGCAGAAAGAAACTGCTTAGTAAAAAGGTAAAGGTACACATGGTCATGTATTGTTATTCAGAACATTTGTCCCCTCCCTACAGAGTGTGTCATTCAGGAGAGATTGTTTTTCTGTTCCTTAGGCTAGGTCACGTGATGTACTTTAGCCAATAAAATGGCAGCAGAAGGGACGTGAGCCCCTGTGAAAGGGCACTTTAGGAACTAGGATGTTTTTTACCTTTTCCCATGACACAAAGTGTTCCCTATAGAGGCTGCTTCATCATTTACAAACTGACCCACTATAAATATGGAATGTAGTAAGACAAAAAAATAGGCCTTTGTGTTTGTTAAAGACTGCCTTTTGGGGGTTCCTGGATATAAGAGCATAACTTAGCCTAACTTGTCTGATATAGTATATGTATTTTAAATGTTCCTAATTACTACAAAATTGGCTTCTAAAAAGCTATACATGTCCACCAACAGTGTGGGAGTGACTTTTTTCCACACTGTTGCCAAAACTGCAAAGCAATCATTTTTTTTCTTGCACAGGAGAAAATGGTATCTCACTGCTTTGACCCACGTTTTTTTCTAATTTCATGCAATGTTTTTTCATATGCTTATTATTCATTCATATTTCTTCTTCAACAAAATGTGTATATAGGCATTGTCCATTTTCATCTAGAGTTATCCATCATTTTTATACACACTTCCTAGAGTGCATATATACAATGAATATCACTGCTTGCTTTACACGTCATATATAGTTTTAACGATTCATTTGATTCTTAACTTTCTGATAGCATTCACCACACAAAGGTAGTTAATACATATAAACTAGGTTCCTTTAAATTGAAATATAATTAAAGCCTACTAGTCTCTAAAGAGATCATGGCCTACTAGGAGTGGCTCACTTAGAAGCCCAGATGAGAACTGCTGGTTCAAGTATCTTGATCTGAGTCAAGATACCCACCAAGATTGTCTAGGACATATGGTGGATTGGAAAAGCAAGTAAGAAAAAGACTAAAGTAGGGCAGTGTGGGGGGGTGAGGGGAATCTAAAACAAAAAGCAAGGATCAATGTGCATGCAGAAATTATAAATTTACATAATCATGTTAGAGATAATAATTTGGTAAGATACATCAATAGTCACGAAAATGTTTATAACCAGTGTAGATACTGCTTTTTTTTTCTCCATTCAAACAATTTCTTACAGCTAATTTTCTAGGGGTAAGATGTTTGAATTAAGGTTGAGCATAGCAGCACTACCTAAGATAGTGAATGCAGGAAAGTAACCAAGAGAAGGACATTATTATAATTAGACAATTAGGTTAAGTAAAATCTGACATATCAATTGACTAGAATATAATGAAGCTGTTAAAAATTAATCAGTGTAATTATGTGAAATCCTGAGCTAATCTGAATGTCTTTCTTTTATGATGACTTTTTCTGTCTTGTCCAATTCTGTTCCCCTTTATAATTTTATGGAACCCTGTCCCTCCAGTCAAACATTTATTAAGATACATTATGTTTATTGTTTTATATATCTGTTTCCTTTCTAGACTTTAAAGTCCCAGAAGCTAGATTTATGTCTTTTTTTTAAACATACAATTCATGTTTTCTCATTTAAAATGTATTTCTTCAAGAAAAATAGAAAACAAATGTATGCAGATTACAAATATAATTATATAAAATTGTATCAATATTTTGATATAGGTTAGAAGAGAACAAACAAAATGGAAATTATTCTTACAGCAAAATCAGAGCCTTATAGTTCCTTTTCAAATGATTTACTATAAGAAAGTTTTTTTAATGCAAAATGGTATAAAGAAGAAAAATTACATGATCAATAATTCTTCCACCCAAAGATAACAATTGTTAATGTATGGCCTATTATTTTCAAACTTTGTTATGCCTTTCTAAAAATATATTGTTGAGATTACTGTATCTTTACAATTTTTTTCTGTAGTTTTCCCACATCTTTCATCTAAGTAACTTTATGACAATTTATTACTAAACCCACATAGCCTGACCTAAGATACCTGTAGCACTGAAAGCAGAGCAAGTTGAACCAAAGCTCTCAGAAGGGGTTAGAGACCAAAAACAAGGATCTAGCTCATTGAAATGATAGCCTCTTTCAAAAACTTACTTTTTCTTCAGCTTCTTGTTTTTTGTTGTTGTTGTTTTGGGAGGCAAACTGTCAATGACTAAGCCTAAGACTTGTTAGATAGAATGATTGATAACAAATAGTTGGTTAAAATAAGAAGTTTAGAAAGGATTCCTAAAAGACATTAAAGAAAGGTGGTAGAACAAACCATAGGGTTTGTAGTGCTGTCTAGACTACTCTGACCTTGGTAAGAAAAAAGGGAGAAGACACTGAACATGATCATATTTACATCTGTGTATCCCAAGTGTAAAATATGCTATGGTATTTGGGTTGTTTCAGTATTTTGGTTATTGGAATGATGCTGCAATGGAGTGCAAATATGTCTTCAAGATCCTGATTTCAACTTTTGGGGGGTAAATACCCACAAGTGTAATTACTGAATCAAATTGTAGCTCTATTTATCCAGTCTATCATTGATGGGCATTTTGGTTGGTTCCAAGTCTTTGCTATTGTAAATAGTGCTGCAATAAACATATGTGTCCATGTGTCTTTATAGTAGAATAATTTATAATCCTTTCGGTATATACCCAGTAATGGTATTGCTGGGTCAAATGGTATTTTTAGTTCTAGATCCTTGAAGAATCACCACACTGTCTTTTACAATGGTTGAACTAATTTACATTCCCACCAACAGTGTAAAAGTGTTCCTATTTCTCCACATCATCTCCAGCATCTGTTTCCTGACTTTTTAATGATCGCCATTTTAACTGGCATGAGATGGTATCTCATTGTGGTTTTGATTTGCATTTCTCTAATGATCAGTGATGTTGACCTTTTTTTCATATGTTTGTTGGCTGCATAAATGTCTTCTTTTGAGAAGTGTCTGTTCATATCCTTCGCCCACTTTTTGATGGGGTTGTTTTATTCTTGTAAATTTGTTTAAATTTCTTGTAGATTCTGAATATTAGCCCTTTGTCAGATAGATAGATTGCAAAAATTTTCTCCCATTCTCTAGGTTGCGTGTTCACTCTGATGATAGTTTCTTTTGCTGTACAGAAGCTCTTTAGTTTAATTAGATCCCATTTGTTTATTTTGGCTTTTGTTTCCATTGTTTTTGGTATTTTGGTCATGATGTCTTTTGCCCATGCCTATGTCCTAAATGATATTGCCTATGTTTTCTTCTAGAGTTTTTATGATTTTAGGTCTTCTGTTTAAATTTTTAATCCATCCTGAGTTGATTTTTGTAAAAGATGTAAGGAAGGGATCCAGTTTCAGTTTTCTGCATATGGCTAGCCAGTTTTCCTAACACCATTTATTAAATAGGGAATCCTTTCCCCATTGCTTTTTTTTTTTTGTCAGGTTTGTCAAATATCAGATGGTTGTAGATGTGTGGCATTATTTCTGAGGCCTCTGTTCTGTTCCACTGGTCTATATATCTGTTTTGGTACCAGTTCCATGCTATTTTGGTTACTGTAGCCTTGTAGTATAGTTTGAAGTCAGGTAGCATGATGCCTCCAGCTTTGTTCTTTTTGTCTTGGTTATAAAAGCTCTTTTTTGGTTTCATATGAAATTTAAAATAGTTTTTACTAATTCTGTGAAGAAAGTCAATGGTAGCTTGATGGGGATAGCTTTGAATCTATAAATTACTTTGGGCAGTATGGCCATTTTCACAGTATTGATTCTTCCCATCCATGAGCATGGAATGTTTTTCCATTTGTTTGTGTCCTCTCTTATTTCCTTGAGCAGTGGTTTATAGTTCTCCTTGAAGAGGTTCTTCACATCCCTTGTAAATTGTATTCCTAGGTATTTTATTCTCTTCATAGCAATTGTGAGTGGGAGTTTGCTCATGATTTGGCTATCTCTTTGTCTATTATTGGCATATAGGAATGCTTGTGATTTTTGCACATTGATTTTGTATCCTGAGTCTTTGCTAAAGTTGCTTATCAGCTTAAGGAGTTTTAGGGCTGAGACAATGGGGTTTTCTAAATAAACAATTGTGTCATCTGCAAACAGATAATTTGACTTCCTCTCTTCCTATTTGAATATCTTTTATTTCTTTCTCTTGCCTGATTGCCCTGGCCAGAACTTTCAATGCTAGGTTGAATAGGAGTGGTGAGAGAGGGCATCTTTGTTTTGTGCCAGTTTCTAAAGGAAATGCTTCCAGCTTTTGCCCATTCAGCATGATATTGGCTGTGGGTTTGTCACAAATAGCTCTTATTATTTTCAGATATGTTCCATCAATACCTAGTTTATTGAGTGTTTTTAGCATGAAGGGGTGTTGCATTTTATTGAAGGCCTTTTCTGCATCTATTGAGATAATCATGTGGTTTTTGTCATTGGTTCTGTTTATGTGATGGATTACATTTATTGATTTGCATATGTTGAACCAGCCTTGCATCCCAGGGATAAAGCTGGCTTGACCATGATGGATACGCTTTTTAATGTGCTGCTGGATTTGGTTTGCCTGTATTTTACTGAGGATTTCCACGTCGATGTTCATCAGGGATATTAGCCAGAAATTTTCTTTTTATGTTGTGTCTCTGCCAGATTTCAGTATCTGGATCATGCTGGCCTCATAAAATGAGTTAGGGAGGTGTCCCTCTTTTTCTATTGTTTGGAATAGTTTCGGGAAGAATAGTACCAGCTCCTCTTAGTGCCTCTGGTAGAATTTGGCTGTGAATCCGTCTGGTCCTTGTCTTTTTTTGGTTGGTAGGCTATTAATAGTAATTAATATTTCAGAACTTGTTATTGGTCTATTCAGGGATTTGACTTCTTTCTGGTTTAGTCTTGGGAGGCTGTATGTGTCCAGGAATTTATCCATTTCTTCTCGATTTTCTAGTTTATTTGTGTAGCGGTGTTTATAGTATTCTCTGATGGTAGTTTGCATTTCTGTGGGATCAGTGGTGATCTCCCCTTTATCATTTTTTATTGTGTCTATTTGATTCTTCTCTCTTTTCTTCTTTATTAGTCTGACTAGTGGTCCATCTGTTTTGTTAATCTTTTCAAAAAACCAGCTCCTGGATTCATTGATTTTTTGAAGGGTTTTTCATATCTCTATCTCCTTCAGCTCTGCTCTGCTCTTAGTTATTTCCTGTCTTCTGCTAGCTTTTGAATTTGTTTGTGCTTCCTTCTCTAGTTATTTTCATTGTGATGTTAGGGTGTCTATTTTAGATCTTTCCCACTTTCTCCTGTGGGCATTTAGTGCTATAAATTTCCCTCTAAACACTGCTTTAGCTATGTCCTAGAGATTCTGTTACATTATGTCTCTGTTCTCATTGGTTTCAAATAACATCTTTATTTCTGCCTTAATTTCGCTATTTACCCAGTAGTCATTCAGGAGCAAGTTGTTCAGTTTCCATGTAGTTGTGTGGTTTTGAGTGAGTTTCTTAGTCCTGAGTTCAAATTTGATTGCACTGTGGTCTGAGAGACAGTTTGTTATAATTTCCATTCTTTTGCATTTGCTGAGGAGTGTTTTACTTCCAATTATGTGGTCAGTTTTAGAATAAGTGCTATGTGGTGCTGAGAAGAATGTATATTCTGTTGATTTGGGGTGGAGAGTTCTGTAGATGTCTATTAGGTCTGCTTGGTCCAGAGCTGGGTTCAAGTCCTGAATATTCTTGTTAATTTTCTGTCTTGTTGATCTGTCTAATATTGACAGTGGGGTGTTAAAGTCTCCCACTATTATTGCGTGGGAGTCTAAGTCTCATAGTAGGTCTCTAAGAACTTGCTTTATGAATCTGGGTGCTCCTACATTGGGTGCATATATATTTAGAATAGTTAGCTCTTCTTGTTTTATTGATCCCTTTAACATTATGTAATGCCCTTCTTTTTTTTTTTTTTTTGATCTTTGTTGGTTTAAAATCTGTTTTATCTGAGACTAGGATTGCAACCCCTGCTTTTTTTTCTTTCCATTTGCTTGGCAAATCTTCCTCCATCCCTTTATTTTGAGCCTATATGTTTCTTTGCACGTGTGTTGGGTCACCTGAATACAACACACTGATGGGTTTTGACTCTTTATCCTATTTGCCAATATGTGCCTTTTAATTGGGGCATTTAGCCCATTTACATTTAAGGTTAAAATTTTTATTTGTGATTTTGATCCCATCATGATGCTAGCTGGTTATTTTGCCCATTAGTTGATGCAGTTTCTTCATAGTGTTGATGGTCTTTACATTTTGGTTTGTTTCTGCAGTGGTTGGTACCAGTTTTTCCTTTCCATATTTAGTGCTTCCTTCAGGAGCTCTTGTAAGGCAGGCCTGGTGGGGACAAAATCCCTCAGCATTTGCTTGTCTGTAAAGGATTTTATTTCTCCTTCATTTATGAAGCTTAGTTTGGCTGGATATGAAATTCTGTGTTGAAAATTCTTTTCTTTAAGAATGCTGAATATTGGCCCCCACTCTCTTCTGGCTTGTAGGGTTTCTGCAGAGAGATCCACTGGTAGTCTGATGGGCTTTCCTTTGTGAGTAACCCAACCTTTCTCTCTAGCTGCCCTTAACAGTTTTTCCTTCATTTCAACCTTGGTGAATCTGACAATTATGTGTCTTGCGGTTGCTCTTCTCAAGGAGTATCTTTGTAGTGTTCTCTGTATTTCCTGAATTTGAATGTTGGTCTGTCTTGCTAGGTTGGAGTTTTCCTGGATAATATCCTGAAGTGTGTTTTCCAACTTGGTTCCATTCTCCCTGTCACTTTCAAGTACACCAATCAAACGTAGGTTTGGTCTTTTCACATAGTCCCATATTTCTTGGAGGCTTTGTTAATTACTTCTCATTCTTTTTTCTCTAATATTGTCTTCATGCTTTATTTCATTAAATTCATCTCCAATTTCTGATATCCTTTCTTCTCCTTGATCGATTTGGCTATTGATACTTGTGTATGCTTTGTGAAGTTCTTGTGTTGTGTTTTTCAGCTCCATCAGGTCATTTATGTTCTTCTCTAAACTGGTTATTCTGGTTGGCAATTCCTCTAACCTTTTATCAAGGTTCTTAGTTTCCCTGCATTGGGTTAGAACATGCTCCTTTAGCTCGGAGGAGTTTGTTATTACCCACCTTCTGAAGCCTACTTCTGTCAATTCATCAAACTCATTCTCCATCCAGGTTTTTTCCCTTGCTGGTGAGGAGTTGTGATCCTTTGGAGGAAAAGAGGCATACTGGATTTTGGAATTTTCAGCCTTTTTGTGCTGGTTTTTCCTCATCTTTATGGATTTATCTACCTTTGGTCTTTGCTGTTAGTGACCATTGGATGGAATTTTTGCATGGTCATCCTTTTTATTGATGTTGATGCTATTCCTTTCTGTTTGTTAGTTTTCTTCTGACAGTCAGGCCTCTCTTTTGCAGGTCTGCTAGAATTTGCTGGGGGTCCACTCCAGACCCTGTTTACCTGGGTATCACCAGTGGAGGCTGCAGAACAGCAAAGATTGCTGCCTGCTCCTTCCTCTGGAAGCTTTGTACCAGACAGGCACCACCAGATGCCAGCCGGAGCTCTCCTGTATGAGGTCTCTGTCGACCCCTGCTGGGAGATGTCTCCCCGTCAGGAGGCACAGGGGTCAGGGACCCACTGGAGGAGGTAGTCTGTCCCTTAGCAGAGCTCGAGTGCTATGCTGGGAGATCCACTGCTCTCTTTAGAGCTGGCAGGCAGGAACATTTAAGTCTGCTGAAGATGCATCCACAGCCACCCTTTCCCCCAGGTGCTCTGTCCCAGGGAGATGGGAATTTTCTCTATAAGCCCCTGATTGGGGCTGCTGCCTTTCTTTCAGAGATGCCCTGCCCAGAGATGAGGAATCTAGAGAAGCGGTCTGACTATAGTACTTTTGAGGTGCTGTGGTGGGCTCTGCCCAGTTCAAACTTCCCTGTAGCTTTGTTTACACTGTGAGGGGAAAATCGCCTACTCATGCCTCAGTAATGGTGGACGCCCTGCCCCACCAAGCTCAAGCATCCCAGGTCGACTTCAGACTGCTGTGCTGGTAGTAAGAATTCAAGCTAGTGGATCTTAGCTTGCTAGGCTCCATGGGGTTGAGATCTGCTGAGCTAGACCACTTGGCTCCCTGTCTTCAGCTCCCTTTCCAGGGGAGTGAACGGTTCTGTCTCGCTGGAGTTCCAGGTGCCACTGGGGTATGAAATAAAAACTCCTTCAGCTAGCTCAGTGTCTGCCCAAACAGCCTTTCAGTTTTGTGCTTGAAACCCAGGGCCCTGGTGGTGTAGGCATCTGAGGGAATCTTCTGGTCTGCTGGTTGTGAAGATGGTGGGAAAAGTGTACTATCTAGGCCGGAATGCACCATCCCACATGGCACTGTCCCCCATGGCTTCCTTTGGCTAGAGGAAGGAGTTCTCCAACCCCTTGAACTTCCTGGGTGAGACAACGTCCCACCCTGCTTCTCCTCGCCCTCCATGGGCTGCACCCACTGTCTAACCAGTCCCAGTGAGATGAACCGGGTACCTCAGTTGGAAATGCAGAAATCACCCACCTTGTCCGTTGGTCTCGTGGGGAGCTGCAGACTGGAGCTGTTCCTATTCAGCCATCTTGCCTGGGAATCCTAGATGATTTCTTTTAAACAGAAAATGGGCTATCAATATTTGCTTCTCTTAGGTCTTCACGTGATAAAAAACAAGACCCTTGATGATAAGGAGAAATTCTTATATCTAAAAGTTTGTGACCTACTCTTTTTATACCTTGGAATAATAGAAACAAACCCTCTCCCTTTTCAAGACCTCAATTCAGTGGGAAGACAGGGCACTTCTTCAGATAATAACAAGAGAAGTTTCCATGTAGATGAAGTCACTTATTTTTTATGATATAATTGCTTCTGGGATGTAAACACCAGGTTATTCTAAGAACAAAGTGCTCTAAATGTCTATAAAACAATGGCATTCCACCAGTGCTGTCCAATAAACTTTCTGCAATGAAGGAATTAGTCTATATCTGTACTCCCCAACACAGTAGCCACTAACCACTAGCCACTTCCAGTTATTGAGCACTTTCAATATTAAGGAATTAAATTTTTTATTTTATTTAAGTTTAATAAGCTAAAAATTAAAATCTAAATAGCCACATGTGGCTAATGGCTACCATGTTAGATAGTACAACATAAGCAAAGTTTTTGGGTCTGTCACTTAAGCTGTAGCTTTCCCTGATCTACGCCAAAGTTATTCCAGATACACTGCTCCAACCAAACCAGATTCTATGGTGATAGCATTAATCTAGTCATGCCCACCAGCTACCCCTGATGAGACTTGCACGTGTGAAGAGTATGATGATTGTGCCTATCACAAGAGGTTTCATGATGCTGGAACCTAGATATGCATCAACTCTGCACATAGAACTTCTGTGTTTGAAAATAAAAATTTTCAGAACTATGGTATCTTTTCTTACTTTTCCATGTTGTTTCACTAATGCTACACATGTTGACAAACTGTTTTCATTTCCTAGAGTGGTTCATTAATACTGTAGATGTTGACAAATTTCTTGGTTCCTGAACAATATAAAATTTGTATACATATATACACACACATATATAGATATGTATATATGGAAATTTTATATCTGAAAAGTAAAATTGAAGTCTTAAATCAGATCTGAATTATTCGCTGCAAATAGTCTGGTGATCTGGGAACAAACAGTCCAGGAACACCCATATCTCCAAGACTACTTTTTATCTTGTGTCTCAGCTTAAACTGATCAGACCGTTTAAGCAGTCTCTCATGATGAGTATTTGCTCTCTGCTTGTCTTTCTTCCTGTGCTTAACCATCAGAACAAATGGAATAAAAGATTCAGGGTGATGAAATCAGTGAGATGAAACTAAAATATACTGCTGAGCTGCTAAGTAGAAGGGATGAACTTCAGGAAAACCCTTGAATGGATGATAAATTAAGACAGTTGAATTAAGCTTATTGAAAGATGTATCTGCAATGACATTACTTCCTTGTTTCTTAATGACTTGCTCTAAGAGAAATGTAGTCAAGGGATCTTTTTCTTCCCTTGGCTTCTTGCTGTCTGCCTCTCAATAGGACTAGCTCTCCTCTGAGCATGATGGGGGCTTTTGTGGATGAAGGCAAAGTTTTGGAAGCCTAGATTTTTTAAAATGTAGTTTTCTTAGAACGTGAACTGATTAGAGAAGTAAATGAGAGACAAACTGCTGCCGGGCTCTGAATAGAAAATGATCTGTGAGTAAATTGAACAAGCTGGGAGACAGTAAATAGGCAATTAACATTCGTTTTGGCAAATCTGCACCTGTTGGAGCTGAAAATACAAAGGGAAACATGAAGGGGAATGACAGAGAAGACCTGTCAAACATCCTAGTATCAAAATATATTAAATCCTGAGCCTCATGAAATATGAGTGGAAATTATATAAAGCTGCAAATTTAGCCAGGCCTCAAGAAAGATATAATCCACAGTGAAATCTTGTTTAAGCCACCTTTTCTCTCCCTAAGTTTGGAGAATTGTGGTGGATTCAGTTCTGTTGATAGTATTGGTTTGGGTGGTTGTTGTCCTCAGGGGTTTAGAAAGCCTTGATAGATCTTGTTTGGGACAGGATTGTTCACAAAGAAAATTATTCATTCTCATGTCCTTCTGCTATTACTTTTCCATTCTAGCGGAACTCCTCACTATCCCACAAAGACCCATTGCCTACAAGGAGCCCAGGGGAAATGTTAGAAACACGCTTCGTAGCTTCACTAACTGTTCTCTTGGGAAGTGTGCCATGTACTATATCTTTACATTATTTTCCTTAGGATTCCTTTTCTGCCATCCAAGATCTAAACATCTCTGATAAATCCAATTCCTTGAATGTATGACTACTCTTTACAAGATTTGGCTCAATTTTTGCAGACGCTTCCGAAGATGATTCCCTATGACAAGCTGCTGTGCTGAACCCCTATTAACCTCAGTAGGGAAGGGACCATGTTCAAGAGGCGGAAGAAGAGACCCAGAGCCAGCAAATGAGACATGGGTTTTTATCAAGGACTTTCATACAGGAGAGAGAGAGTCCAGTGGTGGTGGGCTGGACAGGAGAACCCCCTTTCACACAGAAATGGTCCAGTGGCGGCAAGCTGTACAACATATCTGCCTTACAAGGAGTCCAGTGGCAGCAGTCTGGACAAGGGATATGCCTTACATATTATGGCCCAGTAGGGTGGGCTGGGCAGGAAAATCACAACTGCTTGCAAATAGCATTAAGTTTACATAACATTTTCACTTAACAACTTAGTGACCTTAATGACCTTCACCTGGCAACCATCATTTATCCCAAAACTCAGGGCCTCAATCCCCTGTACAGCCCATGTTCCACTGGACAGGCCAGGGGCTCAGACGTTCCTCATAGAGAAAAAAAGAATCTCCAGGTTGGCCACTCCCTGACTCCCTAGCTCAGAGCATACATTCAGGTGTGTCTGCCAAACAGGGTCATTCTAAGTACCTGCTTGATTTATTGCTTTCAGGTGTTTTTACCCCACACAAACATAAAATGAATGTTCGGAAGTTTAGACCCTAGTGGTCTTTAGAGAAGATATCCTGAAGCAGGTGGCCATTTGGCTTTTGTTAATTACATGGATTAGGGAAGGAGCTGCCTTTTCATGAGAGTCCTCTGTGACAGAAAACAATCTGACTGAAAAGAATTCAAAGTATAAAGATAGTTTTTAAGGAATTGCCTCCTCTAAAGACAAATTCGATAATTAAACTTCTCTCTAATTCTAAAATTATTTCATTCAAGAGGCACAGGAATGAGCTGGAATTACCTTCTAAGACTATTATTTATGATTTAATGTATCCCAACCTATACTCAACAGAATATTTGGAAATGCTAGTAGATATTCTTCATAAGCAAGTAACTTTTAAAAAGTTATGTCTTTTTACTCTATCTTTGAAAATTAATGATGTCTAACCCAACGAAATTTACAAGAAAAAGCACACCTCCATCTTTATTATTGCACAGTTTGTATATTTTGATTTAATTTGTAGTTTGGGGCATAGTTTTATGCACTCTCTTGCTGGGGAATTATTTCCATTGTCCACAAAAAGGGGAACTAAAAATCCCAAGTCTTAAGTGTTCTAAATAATAACTGCCTGCTCATCCAACCCAACAAGTAACTTCATTCCTAGTCTGAGTCCAGTGACGACAGTCTCCAACAGCCTGGTTTCCTGGCAGGATTAGCCTCCTCCAGCATCTCTCCTTGCCTAGTACCACAGCCTCGTTTAGAAGTAAAGCATAAGTCCACAACTTATTCTTCTTGTCTAGCTGTAACTTTGTACCCATTGACCAACCTTTCCTGTTCACCCAATAGGGTGACTAGAGCAAACAACAGTATAGTGTATGTTTCAAGATCACCAGAAGACAAGATTTGAATGTTGTCATCACAAAGAAATGATAAATGTTTAAGCTGATGGATAGGGTAATTACCTCAATTTGATCATTATACTACATATACATGCATCAGATTATCACCCATAAATATGTACCATTCTTATGCAATTATAAATTAAAAATTAAATTAAAAAAGAAATGAAGCATAAGTCAGTTATTAAACATATTCACCCAGGGATTTTTCACTTGATCACACAGGTGTCCAGTATAGGTATCCAACACTAAGGAAAACAAGACTAGACTCTTACCAATGCTTATCCCTGCAATTCCTTGAAAACAGCCCTACAGAAAAATAGATCTTTCTTATATCTTAATTTTGTTAATTTGCTTCAATTACTTCATAGACCAGCTTGAGCTATTTGCTTCCTAAAGTTTAACAGATCCTAACACAACAGAGCCCTTTTCTTTTTATATGGCCTCCCAGTCATGAGGCTGAGGTTTTTCTTTAATAGTTTTGTTATACTGAGGAGTTTTCCTATACTGAGGAGTTTCCCTGTACTGAGGAAGTTCTGGGTGCAGAGACTAAAATCCAGCAGTATTTTATTGCTGAAGGTGGCAACATGACCCTGGGAACTAAGAGAAGCAGTGGAGCAGCAGCCCCAGGAGAGCTATACCTGACACATTCATGAAACCCAACTGGAAAACAGGAAACTGGAAACACCTAGAAGCAAAGAGACAGGGTCCCAACTATACATGAAGCCTTAATTTCCTCCTGACTGGCCTCCCTCCTTTTAATTTTGTTCCCCTCTACTCCATATTCCTCATAAAAACCAGAGTTAGCTTTTAACAGAATTCCATTTCCCCACTTCCCAGCCCCATATTAAGTTGCTAGAGCTGCCCTAACAAAGCAGCACAAACTTGATGGCTCAAAATAACAGTAATTTATTCTCTCACAGTTCTGAAGAGTAGAAGTCTGAAATCAAGATGTCAGCAGGGTTGGTTCCTTCTGAGGTCTGTGGTGAACAATCCATTTCATGCCTCTTTCCCAACTTCTGATGACTACAAACATGCTTTGCATTCCTTGGCTTGTGGATGCATCACTTCAATCTCCCTCCAACTTCACTTGGGTTTCCCCCCATATCTTCACATAGCTGTCCTCTTATAAGGACATCACATCATGCTGGAGTAGGACTCACCCTACTCCAGTATGACCTCATCACAACAAAGCACATCTGCAACAACCCTATATCCAAATAAGGTCACATTCTGACTCACTAGGAGTTAGAAATTCAACAAATTTTTGTTTGGTGTACACAATTCAATATTTTTTCCCAGGCAAAATCCTTCGATGGCTCCCATTGTGTTTAAGATAAAATACAAAGCTGGAATACATGGCATTTTATGATGTGGCCCTTTCTTTTTCTCTAGTATCATCTCCACCCACACTCTAAATTCCAGTTTTACACAACTGCTTACTGCTGCCTTGTATATATTGTATTCCCTCTTGCTTTATTGCATGTCACAATAATGATAGCTGATGTTTATATCACACTGCTATGTATCAGGCACATGGATAATACATTAATTTTTATAACACTATGAGGTAGGTAATTTCATTTACTCCCATGTTGCATAGAAGGAAATTAAGACCAGAGAAATTAAGCAAATTTCCACATGAGTAGCACACAGTAGACGTAGGAGAGGACCCAGACAGCCTGGAGCCAAAGGTCTTGCTCTTAAAACTATGTTATATGGTCTTTCAGGTAGATTGGTGAAGAGGCCATCAAAAGAAAAATACTGAGACCCTGTCTCTCTAAGAAATTTTAAAAATTAGTCAGGCATGGAGGTGCATGCCTATAGCCCCAGCTACTCGGGAGGCTGAGGTAGAAAGATTGCTTGAGCCCAGTAGTTTGAGGCTGCAAGGAGCTATCAACAGGCCACGGCATTCCAGCCTGTGTGACAGAGTGAGATCCTGTCTCAAAAAAAAAAAAAAAAAAAAAGGAAAATGTTTCCTCTCATTTCAAATTTCCTGTCTCTCTTCCCTCTGCCTTCAGTCTGATTTTTGTACCCCTTATACATGTTATCTGATCACATTGTATATGTAACCTGAACAACTTCCCAGAGGCCCATGTGATTCAATCTCTGCAAGGAGGATCATAAGAAAAAAAAACAAAACAACCCAGCAACCAAAAGTAATTAAAAACAAACTCTATTTTTTACTTGTGACTTGTGAAGAACACAAAAGCAGATGCAGTTAATAATCCACAATCCTCCAAAGCCTCTATGCTGGACGAACTTAGCCTCTCATTCCCCAAAGCAGTGGCAGGGCCACTTGCTCAATTCCCCAACTAAAAAGAAAAAAATCCCCAGTGCTCAGACCACAGGACTCATTCCCTCTCTTTGTCCATCACATTTTAATTTTACCCATATTTTATCTTGTAGATTTTCTGGTGTTTGTATATTTTTCCACTGCAGACAAATCTTTAAGGGATCACTCTCATGTTAATAAGCCTCTAATAAAGCATTTATCATATAATATATTATCATTCACTACCCAAGTGTACTTTTTTCCAATGCTTTCTCTCATGTGGGAAAACTTAAGTGACCATTAACTCTCTTCCTAATTAATTTTAAAACTTCAGTTTTCAATCAATGCAAAACTAAGCCCAAGTATCAAGCTGGTAATAGTGATAATATGCATTTATAATTACATATTTCAGTTAACCATAAAATCTATTATTGCACTAATAAAATGTATGAAACTCCTTAACCTACCAGGAACTTGGGGCAGCTGCAACATCAGCATTTGCCTTTTACAGTTTTTTACAGGCTGTGCAAATTAACGTGTAAAAGGAGTAACACAAAGTGTCAGGATGCTATTTTTGCATAAAATTATGGTATATTTTTAGATTAAACACTAAATGTCCATGCAAGCCCTTAGGTTATAAGAACATAGCAATTCGAGAGCTGTACACCACATCAATGTTCAGTGTAAAAGCATAGTGGAAGTTCTTTGAAGTGCTTGATAGTAGCCATAATTAATAGGTGCTCCCCTCAAAGACAAAAAAATATGTACACAAAGCAAAAGTGGGTGTACATGTTCCATGCTGTATACAAAGTGAAACTTATGAGGATGGTATTCCTTTGTGGGAGGAGATAGGCATCTTGTATTGTTGGATAAAGTGCTTGAGGCAATGGCTGGTGTAAAGTACTCACTCATAGTAGCTAGCAGCACTGTGTTTGTAGAATTAATACACCTACAGGTCTATCCAAGTGGAAAGAAAGCGATCTGGTACATAACAAAAGAGAAAACAGAAGCCAAGACCAGAGCCAGGGAAGAGCCTCAGTTAATGTGAGAGAAAGACTGTAGCATAAACAGAAGCCAGTGGGATATCTTGCTCCCAAAGTTATGCTGCTAGGTGATGAGGGGGACACAGCTGAGCTGAAGCTCTGAGCAGAGTCTGTTCTTACCCTTTCTGGTCTTCTTTGGCTTCATTTAGTTCCTTTTGGGCCACGTAGAGCCCTACCACGCCCCCACCTCCCTCCCTCTGCACTCACCCATGCTCTGCGTTCCCTTGTCCATCCTCTGCTTGTTCTGTTCTGAATGCCCTCATCCTGGCTTTTTTCATCCCTCCCACCACCATTTATTCATAGATTCTGACTTTTCTTCCACTCTTCTTATCCATACATACAAATTTCTTGCTTAGTACAGATTACCAATTATGCAGAACTTCTGTGTAACAATTTTTTTTTATCATTTACATGCAAAATGGTTGCATTTTATTTGAGGACTGGGATCCTGAAGGCCATTCAGTTTGAAGTATGCATTTGTAAAATGAATCCTGTCAAATGATGAGAGATATCTCTGTTTACCAGCTAAAGTGGCACTGCCATGTGGCAGTAACAATGTCAACACAGCTCATTTCGCCTGCCAACTTTGGGATTCTGTGATTCTTGAAAAAAAATTAAATTCAGGCATTTGCATAACTTTGTACTATGTTCATAAAAATCAGAATCCATTCATATTTTAATTGCACAACTTTGAATTTGCATATTTTACAGTTATATTCATGCGACTATATATTACATGGTAGTAGGGCTATTCATTTCAGAGGTAAATTGAAGTCTTGGAAAGACCTCAGGTCTCAGGAAGACAAGAACAATAAATATCTGTCCATTTATCTGAGATGTGCAAGCTATTCTTTTATGGAAATGATTGTTGACAAGGCACATGACATGATTCTGGGAGTGACTAGCACATAAGTGAGAAGCTATGACCTGCCAGCTTTCAGGATGACATCCAAGAGGCAGTAGTCAAAGCTTAACCCCTAGCAGAAACAGTCCTTATTTTTATATAAATCGATAGAAATTCTCTACAATTCCAGAATTTCCAGAAACTCAAATAAAAAAAAATTTCCTTCAAACACAAACAAAACTTAAGGATTAGGCTCTTAAATAATTGAGCTCGTTTCCTGGGAAAGAAAAAAAAAAAGAATAGCAGCAAAACAGTGGTATGTAATCTCAGCAGAATAGCCATTCAGTTTTTCCATGAGACGCAGAAGACTGTTCCATTACTTTTTAAATTCTTCCTCCAAAATAATTAACATTTACTTGTGAAACTTATAACAGCAGAGGAGTCTTTTTTCCACTTTTATTCTGCTATTTGGAAGGAGACAGTGTATCGTAAAGTAAGAGCTACACTGATCTTGCGTTCCTATACCACCAATCATCACAAATGTTTATGCAAACTATTTTTATAAGTGCTGTGGGCTCAAAGATGAATAGTACCTTATCTTATATTGGTCCTAAAGGAACTCATATAGCAACAAATAACAATGGTACACAACTAAGTTCCTGTACTTTAAGATAATACCTTGTTACTCTCATCTTATTTACAATAGAAAAGTTTAGGAAGGAGAGTGGTTAACAGGAGAAATTCAAGAAGAAGCTTCAGAAACATTAGATGGAAACTTTAGAAAGTTGGGCCAGATATTTGTATTCTAGAATATGCTTTATAAAATAGCTCCACATCATTATCTCAAATTTATTTTCACTTTAACCTTGCAAGATAAATAGGATGGTATTTTTTTTTTTTTTTTTGAGACTTGATCTTGTTCTGTCACCCAGGCAGGAGTGCAATGGCAATGACCATAGCTCACTGCAGCCTGGAACTCTTGGGCTCAAGCAATCTTTCCCAACAGCCAGGACTACAGGTATGTGCCATCATGTCAGGCTAATTTAAAAAAAATTTTGTAGAGACACAGTCTTGCTATGTTGCCCAGGTTTGTCGTGAACTCCTGACCTTAACTGATCCTCTTGCCTTGGCCTCCCAAAGGGCTGAGATTATAGGTGTGAGCCAACATGCCCACTTAAAGGATGGTAGTATTTTTTAAATTTACCTGTAAAATAAGGAGAGTTGTTACCAAGCTCATGGGGTGAGGGGAAAACAGAGGTTAGATTTAAATCCAAAGCTAAACTCCAGAACCCATTCTTTCCATTAAACCACAGTGGCCTTTTAGGAAAATGAAAATGTGGGAGAGGAACCAGAAAGCAATCAGGCTACTTCTGATAGAAGAAACTGAATTATCAAAGACACAGTGATTTCTAACATGTGGACAATTTAGAGAATTGAAGGAGCCTGGAATGACAGATCACAACCAAACCACAAGGGTACATTTAACTTAATCTGGTGATCAAAGGAGAGCTATCCAGTCCACAAATATACAAAGCTAATGTTTGTTGGAAAACCTACTATATTTTAGAAATTATTTTAGGCAGTAAAGACACAGAGGGGAAAAAAAAAACCTTGATTTTTGCTACGACGATGCTAACAAAATGGTGTAGAGACATATATAGAAATATCTATACTACTTCTCTGGGAAATTCCCATAATGAACATAAACAGAAGTTGCAATTAACAGCATAGGGAAAAGCTCTGCTAAATCTGTCTGGAAATGTTGAAGGCTTTTGAACAAGACAGTCATTTGAACCTGGCCACAATATGTGAAAAAGGTAGCATAGATCAAGGATTGGTGGCCTAGGCACCAGTGTTTTATCACAAAGCTCAGAAGATTCAAGGAGGGCTGAGGAAGAGGTAAAGTGGTATTAGGTTGGTGCAAATGTCATTACTTTTAATGGCAAAAACAGCAATGACTTTTGCACTAATCAAATAGAAGTGGGAATTGAAATAAGGAAATAGGTTTGAGACTGTAGGAAAAAGCAAAAGTATTTGAAACCAACTGTGAGTGTCGCGAGATCACATAAAAGCTAGAAAGTCTGAGGGGTGGGGAAAATTGAATCTCAGAAAAGGACAGATATGGTGGAGATGATGGAAGGGTTTACTTGAGGGTAGTGTTGAGTTAGAGGCAAGACTTTCACTCAGGGATTTCCATGGGACATTTGGAAATGTGGATGTACAGTTTAGGAGGGAGTTAAGAGTGCAGAGCTCTATTTGAGTATCACAGTTAAAGGTATAAATGTGGAATGATATCATTAAGGGAGATCTTGCAGACAGAACAAGCTGAGAACAGAAACCAAAACAAGAATAGATGGTGATAGGAATAAAAATCAACAAA
Organism: Homo sapiens; assembly: GCF_000001405.40. Lineage (NCBI taxonomy): Eukaryota > Metazoa > Chordata > Mammalia > Primates > Hominidae > Homo > Homo sapiens. The sequence continues at coordinate 34,286,929 of NC_000008.11, read as the reverse complement.
GTTTAGTGTTTTCTGAAAAACAACCAAGTGAGCTTCAAGCAAGGAATGAAAAAAATTTTAAATATTATGGAGAGGTCAGATACATAGGATTTGGGTTGTTTAATTTAGTGAGTACAGAATCATGAATGACCTTTAGGAAGGTAGTTTCAGTAGAACACATGGGAGCCCAATTGCAAAGGATTAAAGAGGCAGTGGTGGTAAAAACAAAACAAAACAAACAAACAAAAAAAAACAGCTGCTCTTTAGTGCAATAAAAGATTGACAGAAAAATTGCCCCAAACTGCACTTACTGGGAAACTTTCTTAAGACATTCAGCAAAAAAGAAATACCAGACTTGCTTTCATACTATTGGATATTAGTGGAAGAAAGGCAGCCAATGCAGAAAGGCCGCCTGTTCATGACCTGGTCCTGATGCCACCACTGAAAAGTGGCTGATCCTAGGGTCAGATGGAAGTTAGAGAAGAAGTGGAGAACTTTAGCTAGAGAAGAGATACTTACTATTTGCATTTTATTTTCAACCCTATTTTTAAATCTTTGTCCCCTCCAAATTTTGGGTCCCTGATGAATAGCTTTGATGGCCCAACCACAGATTTTCTTTTCTGAGTAGTTCAATGTTGTGATGAATTAAGTGTTTTGCTCTGTTGCTGTTTATTTGTCTTTGTTTTGTTGTTGTTTGAGGTTGGAATTTCCTTATTAGTTTTTGTTTATTTGTTTGTTTGTTTTTGAGACAGAGTCTCACTCTGTCGCCCAGGCTGGAGTGCAGTGGTGCCATCTCGGCTCACTGCAACCTCCACCTCCCAGGTTCAAACAATTCTCCTGCCTCAACCTCCTGAGTAGCTGGGATTATAGACACACAGTATCATACCTGGATAAATTTTGTATTTTTAGTAGAGACGGGGTTTCACCATGTTGGCCAGGCTGGTCTCGAATTCCTGACCTCAGGTGATCCGCCCACCTCAGCCTCCCAAAGTGCTTGGATTACAGGCACGAGCCACCATACTCGACCCTTATTATTAGTTTTTGAAGACAAAGAGGAAGGAGGAAGTATTAAAGAGAGTGGATAACTGATGCATTAAGGACAGCAGGAGAGCTAGCTAGAAAGAATGAAATAAAGGCTTAGGGAAAGGTATTTAGCTTTGAGGAGAGGGAACAAGGGAAAACAAGAAAGATTCTGTGAAGATAATAGAAGATTTTGATACAGAGAAGAAAGTTGAAAGAATGCATATCAAGAAACTTTGACCTTAATTATGTAAGAGTCAAGACTACCTGCAAAGAGATGAAGTAAGAATCAGGAGTTGGAGCTTGAGGTCCTCAATAAAGGTTTAAAGTAGTCTTTGAAGTGAGAACAGAGCAGCGTCAAGTACCCTCAGGAGGCATTCATTTGAGACTCTGAGTGCACTCTCCAGGTGGAGCACAACAGATATAGAATCGATATGCCATGCCCTGAATCCCTAAAGTTTTGTGGTTTGTTTGTCTTCTCGTGTTTTCCCCTTAGCATCTTCAGAGAACTTTTCTTTTAAAGCCCGTATCAGACTTCCCTTAAGAAAAAATCCAAAAAAACCTTCTTGCATCTGTGTTGCAAATCTTTGTTTCTCTGCAAGTCAGAGAAACAACAGTATTAGCTCTTTTTTTGTCACAATTCCTGTTGTTTCTATTGCTGCATAACAAATTACCACAAACCTAACAGCTAAAAACAACACATTTATTATTCCACAATTTCTGTGTGTCAAGAATCCACGCACAATTTACCTGGGTCCTGTTTCTGGATTTCTCACAAGGCTGCAATCAAGGTGTCAGCCATCCTTAGGATCTCATCTGGGGTTAACTAGGGAAGGGTCTGCTTCCAATGGTCTGCATGTGGTTTTTGGCAGGATGCAGTTCCTGGCATGTTGCCTGACTGAAGGCCTCAGCTCTTTAGTGGCTGTTGGTCAGAGGCTAGCCTCAATTCCTTGCTACGTGGGCCTTACCATATGGCAGCTTACTTCATCAAAGCTAGCAAGGGAAAGAGTCAACATACAGAGTCTACTAACAAGATGGGAGTTACAATCTTGTGTAATGTAGTCACAGAAATGGCATCCCATTACCTCTACTGTATTCTATTGCTAGAACAAAGTAACGGGTCTGGCCTGTGCTCAAGGGGAGGGATTATGCAACGCATGTACACCAAAACATGGAGATAATTAGAAGCTGTTTTAGAGTGTGTTGCCATAGCTCCTCTATCACAAGAGAATAACATTCTCTATGTAGCAGCAAAGTGTCCTAAAGACCCATAAAGAGAAATGAGAGTGGTGTAGGCATTTAAATTATGAATTCACACATTTCACATTATGGAAGACAAAGTGGAATATGCAGGTAAGCAAGAAATTTGATTTTATTTCAAACATCTGTATGTTGACACAAATTTTATCAATATAATTTATTCTGGAACTGGACATCAGGTTACAAGAGTAGTTTAAATTCAGGAAATTGCAGATTTAACCATTTACACCTATCTGTTCTTGAGGAGGAATAGAGATCTGTCTTTTCTACAAAAAAAGTGTGTTGATGAACAATTATATCAAGAACAAAATTTTTAAATGTAATTTCTTACCACTTGTTTAGCATAAATGAATTGAATTGAATTCAGTTAGAAACCTGCATTTATTTATTTATGCATTCATTTCCACGGAAAACAGTATGGAGATTCCTTAAGGAACTAAAAGTAGATCCACCATCCAATCCAGCAATCCCACTACTGGGTATCTACTTAAAGGAAAATAAGTTATTATATGAAAAAGACACATGAACACACATGTTTATAGCAGCACAATTCACAATCACAAGGATATGGAGCCAATCTAAGTGCCCATCAATCAACAAGTGGATTAAAAAAGGTTGTATATATACAGCACAGAATACTACTCAACCATAAAAGGAACAAAATAATCTCTTTTGCAGCAACTTGGGTGGAACTGGAGGCCATTGTTCTAAGTGAAGTAACACAGGAGTGGATTTTCTCACTTACAATTGGGAACTGAGCCATGAAGATGCAAAATCATACAGTGATATAATCAATTTTGGGGACCAGGTGGGGGGAGGTTGGGAAATAGGTAAGAAATAAAAGACTACATATTGGGTGCAGTGTACACCGCTTGGGTGACAGGTACACAAAAATTTCAGAATTCACCACTGAAGAATTCATCCATGTAACCAAAAATCACCTGTACCCCAACAACTATTGAAATAAGCTTTTTTTTTTTTTTTAAAAAAAAAGAAACCTGCATGTAAATGCTGGATGAAAATATAAACTAAAACACAGAAATGAGTGGGGAACATACTGGATGAAAATATAAACTAAAACACAGAAATGAGTGGGGAGCATACTGGATGTCAGTGGCTTTACATATATACTCATTCAATTATTAAAATATATTTCATAATCTTTCTTAAATATCACAGAGTGCCATCTATTTTTCTAAGCTACAAGGACAGCCGTCTCTATAGACCAACACTAGTAATAAGAGAATAATACGTTGTGTTTCTTTTCTCAATTCCCACTCCTACCACCCTCTTCCTAGAAAATCAGTCAGTAAACACCTAAGATAAATGCTTTTGATCTCCCCCCTCAAAAACAAATATATATATATATATATATATATATATGTATATTTTCCCAGGAATCAATTAAAAAAACAAAGAAAGAAGAAAAAATGAGAAAATAGAAATTCACAGAATTTAAATAGAAATTCACAAAAAAAGAAATACAATTTAGGCAAGAAACATTTAAAATATATTCAATCTCACTAGTATTTAGAGATATAACATCAATAACAAGAGGCAACATTTTTCAACTATGTTATAGTTGAATATTATAAATATATATATAATAGTACATACTAATATTACAAACATAATTTAATAAATATATTGATAATCTCCACTATTGGCAAGTTTGTGGGAGAACACTATTCTTCTATATATAGAAGAACAATTTGACAAGGTTTATAAAAATTGTAAATGTCCAAACCTAATTGACACAGTTATTGTACCTCTTGAAATCTATTGAAATCTATCCTAAGGATATATTTACAAATACACACACACACACACACACACACACACACACACACACATTTTGCTGCAGCATTGCCTTTTAAAGTCAAACTATGGAAATCATCTAAGTATTCTTTAATAATAAAATATTAAGTAAATTATTGTACAGATATAAATGGAATGTAATGTAACATTTAAATAGAATGAGGTAGCCACATGTATATATGTGTGTGTATAATTGTATGTATGTATATATGTACACATATATATAGTGACAGAGAAATACTCCAAAACATATTAAAATTATTCACAAAACAATGTTTATAACATGTACAATATACTGTGTAATCATATACGAGTCTGTATATATGCAACATATACATATATAAAACATACAGGAAAAGTGTGAAGAGATAGACATCAAATACTTCTATAGCTAATTATATTAATGAAGTTAATTCTGAGACAGCTGTGGTGATTGAAGAAGAGGATAAGCAAAAATTATGATTTGTTGTTCTGTATGTATCTGAGTCCTTTAGTTTTTAACTGGCAGATGTTTATGTATCACATGTAATATTTAAAGTAAGAAAATTGTGTTTTAAAAAAATAATTTGATAGTAACGTTCAGAGAAGACTGAAGCCTGAATATTTTTCAGAGGAGTAGCTGATTCTCTGCTTTCTAGGTAGAGTAAACAAATCTCCATCCTTATGGATCTGCTTAATTAGAACAGGAGGTGACAGCAAGAGGAAGGGAGGTTCTCTCTCTACATGTACCACATAGTAGGAATTATTGTTTGTAGGCACCAAAACAGACAATGGAACCGTATCCTATGAGTTCCATGATGCTGGATGTGTATGATTTATTATTCAGTTAAAACCTCTAAAGAGGAAAATAAGATCTCGTTGTCAACTCTGATTTATATTCTCTCGTTTCACAATTCAGTGAGCAAGTCAGGTGGGTATTGCCGAAAATTGGTTATGAATTTCACCCAAAGACATATAATTGTATTTGTATTCAAAGTTTCAGTTTCATTCGCTTTGTGTGATTTTTATTTTTAGCCCTTTTCTTTTATTTAATTTTTATTTATGTATTTTCTTCACTCACTCGGACCAGAATGACAAGAGGTAGCTGCCTAATATTTAAGCCATTTTTCATGCATCCCTTTGGTTCCATTCTGGGACTCTCCTGCACTGCTCTAGAAATAGGTGAGCTGCTTGCAATTCCCACCCTCTCCCCAACACCATATCTATTCTGAGCTACTAAGCCACTATCAGTCTCATCCAGAAGGTAAATTTTTACTGTCCATATCTGGAAGCAAGGGAAATAAAATTCAGAACATGCTTGGCTTTCGCTATAATTTAGGCTCTACTTCTATTTAAGAAGTAGGATGATTCAGAGCTCTGTTGGAATTATGCTGGCCACAGGAATTAAAAGGAGTTCGTCAACTTATGAATCAGCAGTGATGTACTACATCTTTCGGAAACAGTATTGTTGATAAGACCTGGGGAAGTGGGACTTCAGAAGGGTGCACTGGTAAAACCTAACCATCTCTTTCTTCTCAAGAAATAGGCCTCTACAAATCTAACCATGTATGTATTCATACCCCTTTAGCCAGTTATTTTATTCTGTAAATATCCTTAAAAGAAAAGAAAACAAAATGTGGGAAAGGCATTGTGCACTAAGATGACCACCAGGCAGTATTTATAGTAGTAAAAAACGAAAATCCATTAGACTCTGATAGTAGGGTGAGAATTTCACAAATATGTAGATTCGGTCTTACAGTGCTATATAAAGATTAAAATGACTGGTAATGAAAATGATTTGGCAACGTGAAAAAGGTTATATTATTAGTGAGCAAAGAAGATGCAAATTAGTACATACACTGTGGCTAAAGCAATGCAAAAGAGATGCATGGGAAATAGACCAAAAAGAAATAAAATATTAAAAGGAAAAAGAAAATATCATAATCATTTAAAAATTTTTATAGTATTTATATGCTTTCTGATTAAAAGCTTTTATAAACTAATAAGACATATTCTTTAAAATGGTTAGTTTCTCTTAGGTAATCAGAAAGCAGGAGTCAGGACCAAACATCCTTATACTAAATCTATAATCTTCTCTATTTATAGTTTCATATTCCCATTTTCCCTACACTTTTCTCACACACACACACCACACACACTTCCCATTACACACACACACACACCCCAACAGGCACACACACTTCCTAAAAAAGAAGACAGGTGTTGCAGACGTTCATGTATTTTCCTAGTCATTGTGTGAATTTCTAGCAGGTTTAACACCAGGTTGGGAGATCTTGTTTTTCCCTCCTCCTTTTTTCAGAGAACAATCATTTCTCTCTGCATCACTCTTTTTGGCAAACTCCAGCATTATAGACATCTGAAGTGACACCGTCATTACGTTTATACCCCAAATAAATAACAAGATATGATCATCTCAGGCATTTTATTACCAGCAGATCCTGAATAATTTTTCTAAAAGTAGGGGATTGATTATAAGATTATAGAGATTAATCCATTGTTTTTAAGGTTGCTTAAATGCCCCCAAAAGGTGATCACTTGCCCATTAAATTTAACAAAGATGTCATAGTATCTGTCCTAGTCTGTTCATGCTGCTATAATAAAATGCCTGAAACTGGGTACTGTATGTATAATTAAAATGTATTCCTCATAGTTCTGGAGGCTAGGAAGTCCAAGATTGAGGTACTGGCAGGTTTGGCATTTAGTGAGCACTAGGTCTCTGCTTCCAAGATGGTGCCTTGTTGCTGAGACTTAGAGGGAACGAAAGCTGCGTCCTCACATAGCCAAAGGGCAGAAACACAAAGAAGGAAGGCTGAGTTCCCTCCAGGCCCTTTTGTTTCAGTCCTTTTACAAGGCACTAATCCATTCATGAGGGCTCTGCCCTTAAGAGTTTATCGCTTCCCAAAAGACCTCACCTCTGAAAACCACCACAAGGGGGACTAAGTTACAACATGAATTTTGGAGAGGACACATTCAAACCATAGTGCCATCCCACAAACATGCACACACATGCATGCACACAAATATATACACACACACACACATACATACAGTGCACATTCAAAGTTTTCTAAATAGCTTGAATGGCTTTCTAAGTGACTAAGGAAAGTGTGGAGGCATTCCCTAAGTTTTTTTTAATAGACTTTATTTTTTAGAGCAGTTTTAATTTCATAGCAAAATTGAGCAGAAGGTACAGAGATCTTTTTACATACCCCTGCCAGCACATATGCATAGCCTCTCCAACTATTAACATCCTCTGCCAGATTGGTAGAGTTAATACAATTGCTGAACCTATACAGATATATCCTTATCATCCAAAGTCTACAGTTTATACCTTAGTCTGTTTGGGCTACTAAAAAAGCATATCATAGACTGGGTAGGTTACAGACAACAGAAATGTATTTCTCAGAGTTCTGAAGGCTGAAAAGTCCAAGATAAAGTCATTAACAGAGTTTACATCCAGGTTCACTCAGTACTGCAAATGTAATGGATTTGGACAGATGTATAAAGACATATGTTCTCTATTGTAGTGTGATAGAGACTAGTTGCCCCAAAAATCCTCTGTGTGCTTCTTATTCATCTCCACTTCCCCTGTAATCCCCGGCAATCACTGATCTTTTTAATGCCTCCATAGTTTTGCCTTTTCCAGGTCATGTAATTGAAATTACACAGTATGTAGCCTTTTCAAACTAGCATATCTCTTAGTAATATGCATTTAAGTTTGCTCCATGTTTCTTCATGACTTGATAGCTCATTTACTTTTAGCACTAAATAATATTCCACTGTCTGGATATTCCACCGTTTATCCATTCATCTACTGAAAGGCATCTTGGTTTCTTCCAAGTTCTGGCAATTATGAATAAAGCTGCTATAAACATCCATGTGCAGGTTTTTGTGTGGAAAACTCCTTTGAGTAAACACCAAAGTGTGTGATCGATTGATCCTATGGAAGAACATTTAGTTTTGTAAGAAAACGCCAAACAATCTAACAGAGCGGCTGTACCATTTCGCATTTCTACCAACAATGAATGAACGTTCCTATTGCTCCACATCCTCACAAGCATTTGGAGTTGCCAGTGCTCTGGATTTTGGACATTCTAATAGATGTGTGGTGCTAACTCATTATTGTTTTAATTTGTATTTCCCTGGTGACATACGATGTAGAGCATCTTTTCATATGCTTATTTGCCATCTGTATATCTTCTTTGATGAAATATTTGTTAAGATCTTTGGCCCATATGATCGATTGTAGATCCTTCTTTTCTAGTGATATATGCATTCAATGCTAATGATTCCACTCTAAGCACTGATTACTCAGTATCTCACAAATTTTGATAAGTTGTATTTTGATTTGCATTTAGATCAATTTATTTCTCTTGAAATATCTTGTTTAACCCATATGTTGTTTGGAAGTGTGTTGTTTCATTTCCAAGTGTTTGAGGATTTTTCAGCTATCTTTCTATTGGTGATTTCTAGTTTAATTTCATTGTGGTCTGAAAGCAGACATTGTATGATTAATATTTTTTAAATTTGTTAAGGTATGTTTTATGGCCCCAAATATCATCTATCTTGGTGAATGTTCCATATACAATTAAGAAGAATGTGTATTCTGCTGTTGTTGAATAAAGTAGTCTATAGATGTTTGTTATATCCAGCTGACTGATGGTGTTTTTCAGTTCAACTACGTCCTTACTAATATTCTGTCTGCTGGATCTGTCCATTTCCAATAGATGAATGTTCATGTCTCCAACTATAATAATGGATTCATCTATTTCTCCTTGAAGTTCTATCAGTTTTTGCTTCATATATTTTGCTGCTCTCTTATTAGGCACATACATGTTAAGGATTGTTTTATCTACCTAAATAACTTACCCCTTTATCTTTATGTAATGTCCCTCTTGCTTACTGATAAATTTGCTTGCCCTAAAGTCTGCTTTTTCTGAAACTAATGTAGTATTACCACTTCATTTGCATTAATGTTAGTATGGTATATCTTTCTTCATGCCTTTACTTTTAAACTGAATGTCTCTTTATATTTACAGGACATTTATTGTAGAAAACATATACTTGTATATTGTTTTTTGATCCACTCTAACAATATCTGTCTTTAAATTGGTGCATTTAGACTATTGATATTCAAGGTAACTATTGATGTAGGATTAATATCTACCATATTTGTTATTGTTTTCTATTTGCTGACTTTGTTCTTTGTTTTTATTTTGTGTTCCACTCTTTTCTGCTTTTTGTGTTTTTAATTGAGCAATACGTATGGTTCCACTTTCTTTTACTTCTCAGCATATTATTTGAATCTCTTTTTTTCACTTTTTTGTGTGTGTGTTTGCCCTAGTGTTTGCAACATACATTTACAACTAATCCAAGCTCACATTAAAATAAAATATAATGCTTTATGGGTAGAGTACCTTATAGTAGTAAAATAACCTTAATTCCTCTTTCCCATCCCTTGTATTATTGCCATCATTCATTTTACTTATACATAAGCATACATCAGTATACATACATAATAAAATGCATTGCCTCTATTATTATATTGAACACACCATTTTCTGCTACATTATTTAAAAATAAAAAAGGGTTTTTTTTTGTTTTTTGTTTTGTTTTGTTTTTTTATCTTCAGTCATTCTTTCTGCAATGCTCTGAGTTTCTAATCTGTATCATTTTCTTTCTCTCTAAATAACCTTTTTTTTTTTTTTTTAACATTTCTTGCAAGGCACCTTAACCGGCAACAAATTCCTTCAACTTTTGTTTGATTATGAAAGTCTTAATTTCTCCTCCATTTTTCAAGGATAATTTCACAGGGTACAGAATTCTAGGTTATTAGGTTTTATGTTTTTATGTTAACACTTTAAATATTTCACTCCACTCTCTTCTTGCTTGCATGATTTCTGAAGAGAAGTCAGTAATTTTTATCCTTGCTCCTCTGTAAGTAAGGTATTTTCTTCTTTGGCTTCCTGCAGGATTTTGACTTTATCTTTGATTTTATGTAATTCAAAAACAATGCCTAGGTGTCATTTTTCTGGCATTTACTCTGCTTGGTGTTCTCTGTGCCTCCTGGATTTTCGGTTTGGTGTCTCACATTAATTTAGGAGAATTCTCAGTCATTATTATTTCAAATATTTCTTCTGCTCTTTCTTCTCTTTCTTTTTTCTCTTATTGTCATTACATGCATGGTACTCTTTCTGTAGTTGTCCCACAACTCTTGGATATTCTGTTCTGTTGTAGGATGTTTTGTTTTCATTTTTTTTCTCTTTGATTTTCAGTTTTGGAGGTTTCTATCAAGATACTCTCAAGATCAGAGTCTCTACTCAGTTATGGCCAGTCTATTCATATGACCACCAAAGGCATTCTTCATTTATGTTACACTGTTTTTGTTATCTGGTTTTTCTTTTCCAGCTTTTTGTTAAGATTCACATGTCTTTGCTTACATTGTCTATCTGTTCTATTTTATCCATTAGAGCCCTAAGCATATTAATTATAGTCATTTAAATTCCCAGTCTGATAATTCCAACATTCCTGCCATATCTGAGTCTGGTTTTGATGCTTGTTCTGTCTCTGGAAACTGGATCTTTTGCCTCTTAGTAGGACTTACAATTTTTTCTTGATAGCTAGATATGATGTGCTGGATAAAAGGAACTGCTGTAAATAGGCCGTTAGTAATGTGGTAGTAGGTTATAGGGGAGGAGGGTGTTCTATTGTTTTATGTTAGGTCTCACGATTTTCGTGAGCCTGAACCTCTGTATTATGAACTTCACACATGCTCATCATCCCCTTAGATGAGACAAGATAGCTATCATAGGCCAGAGTTGGGTATTTCCCATCTCCCATATGGAAGGATGAAGGGGCTAGTGTTGAACAGTTGCCTGTTCCACATGGAAAGCAAGAGCCAGATGGAAGGTGGTATTTCATTTCCCCAAGTCAGTTCAGCTCTGGTAAAACCCCAGCATGTTAGGCTCTGGTAAAACAGTTTCTCTTGAGGGCAGACCTTGCTAAGAAAAACAGAATATTCTGGCATATTTCAATATGGTTCCTTTCCCCCTTCCTATGAAGAAAGCACGAAAAGACTTTTCTCCAATATTCACTGTGAGAATCTGGTGAGCTCCTCAAGGTAAAACTCACAAGTGTTTGGGACTTCCCTATGACTAAGTTTCCCTGGAGATTTAACTCTTGGACTGGTCCACGCTGAGTCTCTAGCAATTTGTCAATTACAGTTCAGGATGCTCTACCCTGGCCCTGGTTCCCAAGGAGGTTGCTGCTCATGGGTTTCTGTTCTAGCAAGGAGTCCTTCTCAGTATCTGCCTGTCTCCTTCATGTTAAGGTAGCAGTTTCCATGTGACCTCACTTCCATGCTTTATCTAAGAAAATATGTTGATGTTTCAGTTTGTTCAGCTTTTTACTTACTGTTGCAAGGGAGTAGTGACTTCCAACTTCTTATATGCCATTCTTAAAACCCTAATGACTCTCCCAATATTTTAATTTTAAAAAAGTAATAATAACCAAAAACTAAAATTTACTACTGTGACTTATTGTGTACTGAATATTTTACTGTCATTATCCTCTTCGATCCTCACGTCAATCGTAGGAGTGAGGAACTATTTTATAAAACTGATTTTTCTGGCGAGAACTAAGGTATAGAGAAAGTTAAGCCATTTTCACAAGGTTCCATAGCTGTGAAATGGCAGAAGTGTGAGTCATGTGACACCACAGCTCAAGCTCTTTACCACCACCATAACAGCCTCCCACTCTCATTTAATTATGCTGTTTACCAGAGCCACAATGTACAGTTGCACAAGTTGTATACTGCACAACTCTAGGGTGCATCATTTGCTTTGTGAATGATACTCCCAAAAGCTGGGCAGCATGTAGCCTGTACAAACTTATGTGGAACCTGCATGATCATTTGGGGTGTTTCTCTTCATCATCTCTCACCAGTTCAGCCCACCATTTTCATAGAGTGTTTTCCAAGTATTCTATGGCATACTGTTTTCTTCTTTCAAGGCATAAATTGATATAGAAACAATAAGATGTAGTCTGGTTGGGAATCACAGAACTAACCTGTGAATTCTGAGCTCTTGGTCAGCAGAGATTCTCTAATAATTTTTAGTATCCCCCAAGCACACAACACAGTACTGGGTACAAAACAAGTGCTTAATAAATGCAAATTAACCGATTGTAATCTTCTGGGGTAATTATTGTAAATCACAAAAAGGGATCTTTAGGAAGACATTAGAAAATATTTTATAAAAGATGTTAAACAAATTTGAATTATAAACTGAAACACAACGTAGTAGGTGGCTGTTCTGCAAATGTGCAAGGGCAACTACCTAGTATCTGTGTTGATGAAAATTTAAACTAAAGTTCATTTGCTCCAGGTCTATAGAGAAGCAGAAATGAAATGATTTGCACTTGTGTGAACATTCAATTTTGAGATCTCTTGGCCCAACCATGATGCAAATTACTGACAGTTATAGAAATGATTTAAGAGTATGATTATCAAAATTCCTAGAATAAATCAAATACAGTGATAAGAATAAATATAAGATTATAAATTCTGCATGCTGTTTTCACATAGTTGATTTCTATATGCAGACTTCTGCCCAATTCTAAGCATCTATAAATGTGACCCCTCATATATGGGTGGCAAAAACTAAAATTCAGAAAGGGGCAATTTAAGATGAATGATAAAGCAGAGGGAAGCACTGTAATTCAATTTTTTGTCAAACTTCAGCAGATTAAAAAAAAAAGGAAATAAGAAAATGTTACATATCTGGGTTCTTCAGTTTTCTGTTAGCTCAGTAGCCTATGCTGAGCTGTTTTTTTTTGTTTTGTTTTGTTTTGTTTTGTTTTTTTGAGACGGAATCTAGCTCTGTCGCCCAGGCTGGAGTGCAGTGGCGCAATCTCGGCTCACTGCAACCTCCGCCTCCTAGGTTCATGCCATTCACCATTCTCCTGCCTCAGCCTCCTGAGTAGCTGGGACCACAGGCATGTACCACCATGCCTGGCTAATTTTTTTATTTTTAGTAGAGACGGGGTTTCACCATATTGGTCAGGCTGGTCTCGAACTCCTGACCTCATGATCTGCCTGCCTCGGCCTCCCAAAGTGCTGGGATTACAGGCGTGAGCCACCACTCCCTGCCGCTGAGCTGGTTTTAAGTGGAACAGAATACACAAAGTAGATAATAACTATCGTGTAAAAGTGAAAAATAAATTATTTGTTGCACATACCACAGTACATGTATGTACACAGACACCAACACACACTCACATGCAAACTTATTAAAACAAAAGAGTAGTTAAGACTTCTCGGTCAACAAAAACAGCCTTCCAACTACTACTGACTTCATTTAAAAAAATAAATGGACGTGCAGCTGTGTATTTATCTCCAGGACCTGAGCAAACATTTTAGACAATTCTATGCCATGCTAGACACCAAGAAGGGGAGGGGGGAGGGAGAAGGGAGACAGAAGACCTGGCTGGGACTCCACAGAATTTATTTCCCTGTGGCACACCAAAGTCTTTAAGGAGCTATGTGGCAGTTTTGTCCTTTCTAGGAGCAGGTGAGTGTGCAAGGCCTGCTCTTTTTCTTCAGCTTCATAACTTCCCTGATGCTCAGAGCATCAAAGCTGTTAATGGAGGAAAGAAACGTTTCCTTGAATTAGCATGAATCATTTCGTTGAAAATAGTGTAACTACCAGTAATTTTTGATCAATTTACATGATATTCCACTAATTTTATGCAGCTCTTCATTGCTCCTCCACTTGACTGCACTAATAACATGGGCCCTTACAATTAAAATTTTTCATCTTCTTGGAGCTCACATTTCCAATGGTTATATATTGAGATGTCTCCTATAGAGTGAAATCCTCAACCACTGTCTTGCCTCAGCTAAGAGTCTCTCATTTAGAGTCTTCACCTCAGAGCAGGCATAAGGAACAGATTGAAATAAACCCAGGCTCTTGTCACCATCCCATTTTTACCTCCAGGTTCTTCGCATAATCAGCATTTCTTCTCCAAACCTCTGCCCCAGCCCTGTGATATAGGCAGGAAATGTGATGGCTAATACTGCTGAATTCTAAATAAGGAAGCCTTTTTCATGCTTTTGCTTTGAAACAGCAATGAAAAAACAGGAGCTGATGCAGCAGCAGCAAACATCTATTTCACGGCTTATTATTATTTATATATTTAATAGATGTTAAAGATATTGTGACGGTTAATGTTAAGTGTCAACTTGATTGGATTGAAGGATGCAATGTATTGTTTCTGGGTGTGTCTGTGAGGGTGTTGCCAGAGGAGATTAACATTTGGGTCAGTGAACTGGGAGAGGCAAACCTACCCTCAATCTGGGTGGGCACCATCCATTTGGTTGCCAGCAGGGCTAGAAAAAGTAGGCAGCCCAAGGTGGAGTGAGTCAACTTGCTGAGTCTTCCAGCCTTCATCAGCTTGAAGATGGTCTATCATGGGACTTCACCTTGTGATCATCTGAGTCAATTCTGTGTAATAAATTCCCTTTTTTATGTACATATCTCCTATTAGGTCTGTCCCTCTGGAGAACCCTGACTAATGCAGATATTTTACTGGGTTCTATGCTAACTTCTGGGAATGGAGAGATAAAAGACAGTGGGTTATCTCTCATGAACAGATCATGTAAAAGAGACATGATCCATGATCAAGATTAAGACGTGTTCAGAAAGAGGCAGTGTACTGTGGCCATCAGACGAAGACAACTGATGGAATTCTAACTACTCTGTTCCAATTGTCCTTCCTATTTATTCCTAACCAAAAAAAGAAAGAGAAAGAGAGAGAGAGATAAGGTAGATATTATTCCAGTTTATACATGAGAATGAAAATAAATTTTCTAACGTTGCACATCTAATAAATGCCACAGTGGGATCCAAATATGAAAATGTATTAATCCAACATCATTACTATTTCCATTACTTTGTGTTGTCCTCTAATAAAAATTGCAGGTGATTACTTTTTTCTGTCTTTTCTTCGCTAGAACACACCATCATGTTCTTCCTGGTTATTTGTCAAAGGTTTTCTAGTTAAGTTGATTCTGATTAGGGCTAGGGGAGCATTTATAGGGAGGACAGGCAGAGGAGACCAGAGCTTCGAGAGTGAGGTACAGACCCTAAAATGAAGCCCAAGGATCCAGTATTATTTTCAGTGGGCTCAAGGCCATTTATTTCCCAATAAAAAATATTTACATATTTTGTAATGCTTTTCTTGTTCATCTCATTCTTACACTCTTGAAGGAGCATATCAGCTCTTTATCGTTACCACAAACCTCTCTGAAATTCAGTGGCCTAAAATAATAAGCAGTTACTAAGCTCAAACCTGAGCTGTGGGTCAGTGATTTCCACTAGGTTTGGCTGGGCTTCCTCCCATGTTTGGAAGTTTGCTGAGGGTCAGCTCGCTTAGGATGACCTTGTCTAGGATGTTGGGGATGACCTGGCTCTATTCCTTGTGATTCATCCTCTCACAAGCTGACTTGACATTTTCTTGCTCAGGCAGGGAGCAGGAGCAGAAGTGAGAATGTGCAAGCACTTTTTCAAGCCCTTGCTTGAGTTGCAACTGTTAACATCCTGTTGGCCAAAGCAAGTTACCTGCCACCCTCAGAGTCAAGGGGTGGGGAAAGAACCCATCTCTTGATCAAAGGAGCTGCAAAGTCAGGTTGTAATGACCATGAATGTAGAGAAGAGAGAAAAATTGGAACAATTAACTTAATCGATCTACCACTAGAGCTAAAATGAACTTTCCACCAGAAGGGTACACACGTCCTAGGTTTCATGTACTGGTTTAACTGAGGAAATATTATTTTTCTGTGCTCAAATATAGCAGATACAAAAATAAACTAAAGAAAACACTATGGACTCTGTCATTCCACTGACCAGAGTTTAACTGAAATTATCTACCAAAGTTTTGATTTATTATCATGGAAACATCATTCTCTGTTCTCTCTTTCTCAAGAAATTAAACCAAAGGTTCAGTACTAAACTTTTGAGATTCTTGAATTACAATGTTTTCTACAGCATAATACAATGTATATAAAGAGTAATATTAAGAATATAAATGTTTTATGAATATTTATGTTGAATAATACTTATAATATTTCTTATAATTTGTTATTACTAAATGCCAACCTCTACATTTAATTACATTTTTTATTTATTGAAGTATACATTATCCCAATTTTATAAATAAGAACACTGATACCCAAAACTAAATTTGTTTTGTTTTGTTTTTCGAGACAGAGTCTCACTCTGTCACCCAGGCTGGAGTGCAGTGGTGCGATCTCGGCTCCCTGCAATCTCTGTCCCCTGGGTTCAAGGGATTCTCCTTCCTCAGCTACTCTCCTGAGTAGCTGGGATTACAGGCACACACCACTGCGCCCAGCTGATTTTTGTATTTTTAGTCGAAACGGGGTTTCACCATGTTGGCCAGGCTGGTCTTGAACTCCTGACCTCAGATGATCCACCCACCTCGGCCTCCCAAACTGCTGGGATTACAGGTGTAAGCCACCATGCCCAGACAACCCAAAGCTAAATTTGAAATCAAAACTGCCAATTTTCAAAGTAACTTCTCTAGTCAATATGCTTTTTTTTTTTTTGTCTCTTGTCACCACCAGATTCCCTCAACATTAAAGTTTGGGCAATGTCATCCCTTTTTCTTCATTTTGGCTTTCCCTCTTCTAATCCAACATAACAACTCATAGACTGCTACTAGACAAGTACTATTTCTCATAAGTGGTCCTTGCATTTGATCCAAGAATGAATCATTAGCTCCCACACTTTAGTTCCAAACTTAAGGCATTCTTATTTTTTCACAAAAATAATGTATCTTATCTACCAATCTCTCCTGTACCTGTGCTCCAAGCTAAATAATACACATTAGGATTTTATTTTACTTCATACCACTGACCAACCAGTCATGATCCTTTTTGGATATCTTTTTGCCCATATTTTTTCTTCAATCAGGAACCATGCTACAGCAATTCCTCCCTACATTTCAAGACACATTTTACCAGGAATACTGGGATCCATTTTCATAGTATAGACTAGACTTTTTTTTTAATAGAAAATCCATTTGAACCTTGGCTAGAAACACTCACTGGGTACTGATAAGTAGCCCACGTCAAGAAAGTTTTAGACTCTGTATAGAATATTGGTATTCCTCTATACAGCAGAAAAAAAGAAACAGACAAAAGGATTAAAGAAAAGTTCTAATGAATTATCTCTACATAAGTAATTGCATCAGCCAAAAGAAAGTTTTATTTTTTTAGTACCTTTTTATTCAAACATATTAGGGCCCAGCAGTCTGTCACCCTCTTTCAAAATGAACCCACAGGAAAGAGAAGAGTCAAAAGATGTCTCTAATGGGGTACCAAATTAGCACATGGAAAAAGCAAACGTGTCTTGCTCATTATGAATTGTTAATGGCCTGTTTACTGCTGAAGCTGTCACAGAAAACAAGAAAGTCTGGTAAGTCAATAATTTATTTCAGACTGTGGAATTAATTAGGAAGACAATTAAATAATTGTGAGAAAGCAAAAATATGTTTGGACGTTTTGTTTTTAAAACTCAGTGGTGTTTTACATGGTATTTGGGTACTGTTTGAGAGAGAAAAAAGAAGTTAGAGGCAGAAAGGGAATAAACTTTCTAAACGTTTTTCCACTATAAGATGTTGATAAACTCCACTTTCTATCAACCCTTTCAAAAAAAAAAAAAAAACCCCCAGTAAGCTATGTTAATCCCTAAGAATATTTAAATGATTTTACATTTCATGTAAGATCTAGTGGGTAAATGTGCTGTGGCCTGAATTTCAGTTTCATTTTGAGATTATGCAATGAATGAGTGAATTAATGAATGATCTTTCATTTTTTAATGAATTCATTCTTACGAATGAATGATCTTTCATTTTTGCATCTGCCACATAAATGTTAACAGCGTATCCAAATGGAAAGTAACACTATTATAAATATATTTTAAAGCAACCATCTTTATAGACTTCAAATCACTTTATAGACTTTTTTTAAGGAATAAGAAGATTTAAATAGAAATCAAAATCCATAAAACAGCATTTTCATGCTGGAATTAAAACTGTCACATCTGTTCTAACGATAGTATTTCATGCATTAGTGTTCACCTACATTAATAAAGAAAATGTTTGGTGATCTAGTTGCAGGAAATAATTCTTTATAACAAGAGTGCTGCACAGGTTCGACTTGGTTATGCACTGTACTATTGATAATATAGCTCTACTAGGAAAAGTTGATAGTTCTTTTCATCATAGATGTTGATCAGTAACCTTGCCTCTCTGTCCTTTATGGTTTCCCAAACTAGGGGGAAAATCATTATATTCTGAAAACATCCACCAAAAACTTTTTTTTTTAAGTTTATACTTGCAAAGGGAAATAAAAAGGTGAATACAGGATGGACACGTTTTTTTCTTTTGTAAAATCACTACAGAAAAACCTATAGACACAAGAAACAAAATCTTGAAAAACTGCATTCTTATTCCAGAAAGTTTAATAAACTATTAATTTCAAGATGTTTTATTCACTACTAAAAAGGCTTCTTTATTCTAGCTTCTCACTATTCTGTTGCCACCTGCTCTTATGAAGAAGAATTCAGAAAAAGAAGTCAACCCTAAAATGTGCCTTATACTGAGATATTATTTGGACACTTTTATAGATAAAAATGTAAAAATCATCATCATCACCACCATCGTCATTGTCATCTTGGGAGGAAAATCTTAGACCTTCCTATTGGTGCCTGTCTGAAGTTCTGAATCTCCTCATCTGTCACCAACCAAGCCTGAGATCAGACCAGGTCTCCAGTTCATGCTGTAGGCACTCTCAAGAGGAACTCAGGATTTGAAGAGTAGAACACTGAGGAAACAGTCAAGTTACCAGAAGCAAAACTCAATAATTCAAACCAGGCTGGTATTTGCTACCTATTTCTAAAGCACATGGTAGATGAAGCTCTCAGGGAGGGAAATCGGAGCTTAAGAAGAAGGAAGGAGCTGTGATGTCTGAATAACCTCAGGTTCACACCCTCTGATGGGCAACATGGTGTTGGGAAGTTGAGAACTGAGCCTACTGCCAGGCAAGAATCCAGAAACCCCAGCTGCGAGGAAGAGGAGGTATGGAGAGGCTTGGAACATACAAGTTTGGAGAGGGTCCTGAGCCCATGGTAAAATTTTAAGATGGACTTTTGGACTGGTTCTTCTTCTTTAATACATCAAACTGCATGTATTTTAGCAATGTATTTACAGATGCAAATCCCTTCATTTGGCTGAGAGTATTAGATGTTCATAAATCACTTTTGGATTGTTCCTATTATTATCTATCTACATGAGTTGAGGAAACAAATATTTGCTAAAAAGACATCAACAAAGAGAGAGAAAGAGACAATCAGGAGCTATTTTCTGGGTTTTGTTCTTTAGATAGCAGGCTTCCATGGGGGAGTAAGATGGAAGTGGGAAGTTTTCACAAGGCCAGCTGGCTGGAAAAAGCCTCCTCTAAGCACTAGAAACATCGGGACACTCAAGAGGGACTAACTCTACTGGAAGCCACCCAACAAAACTACATGGTTTAGAATTTCACTCGCCTGAAGTTGCTGGACTGGTTCATCTCTCAAATTCCCTTTAAGGCTCTGCTTCTATAGTTACCGAGTTGTTTAGCCTGGAATCCAGCATGTCCTCAGGCCTGGCCCATCTTTGTAGAATCTGTTTCAATTCAGCAGAGCTTGTCGCTGTGGTTATCTAAGCCAGGAGCTCTCAAAAATTTGCCAACAGTTGGACGCTGGTTTGTGACTTAAGCTAGCTGAGTCTTTTCTGGGGAAAACTAATCATTATTTTAGATTATTTTCTTTTTTCTCATTTTTTTTTAATTAAGAACCTTTCCTTTTATTAAAAAATTTTAGTGGAAATAACATTTGGATTTTTATTGTTATTTTTCAAAATCTTAGATTTAACAATTACAAAATGGCAGCACTAGTTGTATCTCTCTTAGCTTTTTTTAAAAATGTATTTTATCTGTAAAATTTCAGATTAGGAACCACTTTCTAGGAAGAGTATTGTGATTCTTCAGACGCACAAAGGGAGCAGAGATTTTTCATTCATATGTTCACCTAATAAATATTTATGAGCATCTACCAAGCGCCAGGCACTGTTCTAGACATTGAAGATCCATCAGTTACCAGAATATCCAATTAAAATCCCTACTGTCATCAAGCTTATCTTCTCATTGGGAAGAGACAGAAAATAAACAACAAACATAATAAATAAGTAATTAGCCTATGTATTACAGGTATACAGGTCTTGGACAAGAGGCAATAGTATCTGAATTCAATTCATTTCAAAACCAGCAACTTCCTATGCCAGATCATGGATTCTTGGCTAACTTGATTTAGTGATGATTAAAGCAAAGATCAGTTCTTCAAGATACTCAGTTTATAATACAGATTACAAAAGAGGACACTATTTTCCTTCCTAGATTATGAGTTCTTGGATAAACAAACTCAATAATTTCCATGAGACAGCTACATCCTAGTTGTCAAACCTGCTGAAACGCAATTGTTTTGTGGTCTCTGTACTTATGGCATCCATATTTTCTTTTTTTCTTTTCTCCTATAATAAGCTTAGCTCAGATCTTTGTTCTCTCATCCCATAATTCAAGTAGATGACTTACGATGAATAGTGTGGCGTGGCCTGAGCATTGAGATAGGATGTGCCTGACAGTGTACACATCACCACGCCATGTCGTGAACACCATCAAGCTGCTCCGTTTAGCCCAAGAGTATGAGCATTTTTCAAAGCTTCGCTTGGTTTTCAGAGACCGCGAGCAGTGCTCTGAGTAAGCAGATTAAGAACCCAGTTCAAAGACAAAATAAAGAGTGCTTAGAAAATAAATGAATTCTCCTTGGATCAGGTTCTGTGACTATGTCAAGTTTTAGCAGGTACATAAATGGTTATGTTTTCCCCCCAAATTGCTGCACAGGTGGAAGATCACAGAATGATGATGCAAATGAGCTGGCAGTTTAGAACAAATTAAAAAACAGTGTCAGATATTGACATGCAAAATGCCAATACTGCATATGTACAACAATGAGTGGAATATTGAATAGGATTTTTATTTTTATTTGACTGCCAGCTTATGTCAGTGGGCATTTCACAAGCTGGGAGAGGTGAGGAGAAAATGAGGAGATGCCATTCCAATTGTTGAGCCCATAAGACCCGTCAGGTTCCTGCTTCCAGTGAAAGCAGATTATAGGTTAGAAAGAGAAGTGGCACAACTGAAGGAGACCTTAACGAATGGAACTGGGAGACAGTCAAATTTTGCATGCATGGGGTGCTTTTGGGGAATAAAGCCTTCTGGCAGTTTGGTTGTGTTTATTCCAAAATGTTTGTGGGGAAAGCAGAGTGTATTTGCATTTTGTAAGCAAATGATGATAATAATAGGTTTCTGAGAGATATAAATCAGAGAAGATTCAATAAAAACATAAAATTTTGAATAGGCATGTTTTGACCCACCCCCACCCTCAGAAGCAGAGGCTCCAGATGATAGGGGAAGTGGAGGAGGCAGTTAGCATCTGTATTTTCAAATTTTGTGCAGGGAATGACCAAAGCCCCTTGATACAACCCCTTGCTGGTTTGGACTTCTAACTGAGGAACACATCAGGGCTCCCTGCTGTTAATCTGTGAACAAGGCCTACCCCCTGTGCCCTCCCTGATCTGCCCATTACTCTGCCCACCTGCCTATAGCTTGGACACATGATGACTGGGCTGTTATACCGGCTTCTTCCCAGCACCCATCACTTATTCAAAGAGCAAGACTGACTGGTCAATACACTTCAGCTAGCTCTCAAACTTGATCTGGATATAATAATTACTCTATATTGATTTGAGTAAATAAACCTTCCATCATACCAGTCGATCTTTTCCTCCAATTTGATTGAAAAGACATATAGACACTTCTAGAA
Organism: Homo sapiens; assembly: GCF_000001405.40. Lineage (NCBI taxonomy): Eukaryota > Metazoa > Chordata > Mammalia > Primates > Hominidae > Homo > Homo sapiens. Next base: position 34,264,856 of record NC_000008.11, on the reverse strand, counting down.
AATTATCTGACATAAAGTGGGATTTTTCTGATTTAACAAAAGGAAAAAGTTTTTAAAAGCTGATGTAATTCCTTGATTCCTTAATTCTACAAATATGTAATAAATATGCAGACACCATCCAGGTGTACAATCTCTATTTTTTTCTCCTAAGTTAGCTGTGATTATTCACAGCTGCTTGAAAATAGTCAATTTCCTGAAACAAATCAACAAGAATTACATATTGCTCTTGGATCTTCTGCAGTTTTATTGACAGATAATCTCCACCCCACACATGTTGGTGATTATCATACATGTCAAGATTCTATCAGATGACCATTTCACATGGATTGCAGGACCTGTCTCTTCGGTCAGTATATACAATCAGTTTCCCTCAGCAGAAATGGAAGGAGTGGCTGGGCGCAGCAGCTCACATCTGTAATCCCACCACTTTGGGAGGCCAAGGCAGGTGGATCACTTGGGGCCAGGATTTCGAGGCTAGCCTGGCCAACATGGTGAAACCCCACCTCTATTAAAAATATGAAAAGTAGCCAGGCACAGTGGCGCATGTCTGTAGTCCCAGCTACTTGGGATGCTGAGGCAGGAGAATCACTTGAACCTGGGAGGCGGAGGTTGCAGTGAGTTGAGATTACACCACTGCACTGCAGCCTGGGCAACAGAGTGAGACTGTCTCAAAAAAAAATAAATAAATAAGAAAAAAGAAAAAAGAAACAAAAAGGAAGGGGCTCACAGGTGTCTCTCCTCTTAAACATCTTAAAATTTTTTTTAATTTTTTTTTACAGTAACATATGAACACATATTGAAAAATAAAATAATAATAAAAGCTAATTTATAATGGAAATCAACAATCTGTTGCCACTCCCTTTTCCCATTCTAAGTCCTGCTTCTGGAGAGAACCACTTTATCTGTTTCTGCTTTAACTTTTCCTGATGCTTACCTATTGGTTTCCAAATAATATGTCTAGATTGCTTATTTGTATATCTTCCTTTATTCATTCTACAAATAAGTGCTTATTGTATACCAGCACTTATCTAAGAACATGAATTAAGTAGTGTTTAAGGCCAGGCATGGTGGCTCACACCTGTAATCCCAGCACTTTGGGAGGCCGAGGCAGGTGGATCACTTGAGGTCAGGAGTTGGAGACCAGCCTGGCCAACATGGTGAAACCCCATCTCTACTAAAAATACAAAAAATTAGCCAGGCATGGTGGTGTGCACCTGTAATCCCAGCTACTCAGGAGGCTGAGACAGGAGAATCACTTGAACCCAGGAGACAGAGGTTGCAATGGACTGAGATGGCGCCATTGTACTCCAGCCTGGATGACAGAACAAGATTCTGTCTCGAGAGAAAAAAAAAGTGTTTAAAAAACTGGTATCTATTTGACCAATTATTGCAATTGTGTTATCATTTCTTATCTACTGATGAACGTATTCTCTTTGTTACTACAGATTTATATCTTTTTTGGTTCAGTATATATATAATTTTAAGGGATTCTGAGGAAAGAGAGGAGGTAAGCCTTGTGGCCAGTCCACCATCTCCAACAGAAATGTTCTGATCTCTTTATGGAAACTCTGAGAATGTGGATGGACCTGGTAAGAGTTGAGCTCCCATTCACACACAGGAACCAGAGTCAAGTTGCCTCTGTGATGTTAGAGGAAACACAGGTGGTAGAAAAGCACTGGGCTGGGATTTGGGAAGCTTAGGCCACATCCATAATCAGGTCAATAACCACAGATTTCACAGTGCTTGGCAAATTAAAGTGAGCTAATTATTATTTATTATTATATGTAATGTAGTTCACCATTATTTAGCTCATTCTGCTTGTTAAACACTGTGGATTCTGTATCAACTTTCTCATTTAAAAAATAATAACTAATATTATCCCACTTTTCAGATGAAAGATCTAAGGTCTAAAAAAGTGATATAATTGTTTCAAGGTTTCATGACAGAACAGGGATTTAAACTTAAGCCTGTTTCTTGAGCCCAAGGTTATGTCATAATCTCATTTTAGTTAAGTCAATTCCATAAACATTTGTTGAAGTTGTACTGTATGCCAGTATCAGACACCTATGGGAACTCTGTTTACTTCCTGTTGGCCTCATCTCTGATTCCATCCATGTCTGGATAGAGAGTTCCAAGTGTGCTTCAATTCCTGATTCCTGATGTGCTAACAGCTTCTCCTTTCAAGCATGTGCCATATCTTCTCTGCTACTGGATACCACCGGGAGCTGTTTTTGCTCCTATGAAGCTGGGAAGACTTCAGGAGGAGATAATACCTGAAGCTGGGATGTGTCTGGGAGTTACCATCCAGGACCAGCCTCAGGAGCTGGTGGATAAATAGCAGACAATTCTGCAAAATATTCTGTAGGTTTCTCTGGTCCTAGGGGTCTCAGGCCCCCATTGTCCATAGCAGCAACCTCTCAATCAGAGTTTTATATTGGCTTTTCCTCCATCTCTATCCTCATTCCTCAGTCTTCACTATTCTCAACCCCTCATCTCTTCTCCCTGGGATCACCAACCAAACAAATCATCTGCACCCATGCTCTTGTCTCAGGACTGCGTCCAAAGAAGCCTGAGTCAAGATGTATGGTAAAGGGTGACACAACATATTTTGCTAAGTGCTAAGAGAGAGAGTGATGTGGAAACCCAGAATGAGGAGCCTTTAGCCAAATGACAATAGAGAATTCTGGAGAAGGCAATACCTGAAGAATAAATACAGTTCTATATTTATCCTTCAAGTAGAACATAGTGAGCAAAACAGAACAAATGGGTATTCACTCACCCACTTATTCTTTCAGTTATTATTTATTGGATGACACACTTGCTTAAGGATACCACATTAAAACAAAACAAAACAAAAAACCTGCCTTCTTGGGGCTCATAGGAAAAGACAAATGAAAGTGGACAAGTGCTATAAAGAAAATGAAATCAGAATAAGGGGACAGAGAAGGATGAAGATGCTATTTTAGAGGGCCAGTCTAAGAAAGCATTGCAAAAAAAAAAGGGGGGGGCGATATTTCATCTAAAAACTGGGCTAAGTGAGTTCACCAACAAGTATCTGGGGCAAGAGTGTTATAGACAGATATGAACATGCAAGGCGAGTTCAGCAAACAGACAGGGGGCAGGGAGTCAGAGGCAGGGCAGGTGAAAGAAGACTAGGAGGAGAGTGGGCCAAGACTTCGCTGGGTCTTGTCTTGCAGGCAGATGAAGACCTTGGCCATGCTAAGGGCTCAAACCTTACATTATGTCACTTTTTCTGGGATTCAGTTCCCTCATAAAACAAGGAAGTTAGAAATTCACAAGGTCCTTTGTAATGCTGGAATCCCATATGTTCTACTTTCAAACCCGTTAGCAACTTTTATAATCCTTCTTTGGGAGCTTGGGGAGGAAGGCCTGACAGTCAAGCAAGGTACGAAAACACTGTGTATTCCTTCCAACTCAAACACCCTATTTCCTAAGTACAAGTAAGGTCAAAGTATCACTTGCTCTGGCATGGTTTTAAGTCTAGCAGGAACTCTGGGCAGGAACCTCAATGCATGGTGCTTCAAAGCAGTTTGTCCACTGTGGCTCTAAGTGGAGGCTTGAACCTCTCTCTCCTCCTTTCACGTATCTAGTTACAAGGTGAGTGAGGGCAATGAGAGCAGTTTCTCGACTCACCCCAAGCACTGAGTTTGAAGAAGCAAGTTCCCCCTACTAGACTGACCTCAGAACCCACCTCTGACATTTGGCTTCCATGAGGAGTGGGACAGAGGTTACAGCGACACCCAGCAGCCAGCTCTTGTGAGTAAGCTGATCTCCACCTGTGTTCTCTGGCAGAACCTCTCTGGAAAGATTCTGATTGGTATTATAATGCTCTATTCAGTAAATAACATGAGAAAACAAGGGATACACTTCCTTTCAAGTTAGAAAGGGCAAATTGAATGAAGGTCAGGTTGGTAAAATAGAAATAAGCTAAACTTTTAAGAATATCTGGGCTTGACTCCTGTTTTCCCACTTTCTGGCTATACTTTAGAGGTATTACAACCTCTTATTTCATCATTTTTAATGCCTTAGCTAGTATTTACCTTATATGACTATTGCAAGTATCAAGATAAACGCATATTAGAATGGCTGGCCCTAAACAAATAGTAGATTCTGCTATTATTATCATCAATAATGGAAATTATTAGTATCTCATTGATAAAGAAATTTCAGATCCCTTGGGAAAATCTCTTTGAGTTCTGCCTGCCTATAATGATGTCACACATGAGATTCTATGGTTTCTACCACGGATGAATATTCTTCCTTTGGCTTGAAGTTTTAAGCTGCTTACAACATGTGGAATTCAAAGCTGCAGGCACACGCCTGTCAGAACTGTCAGCAAGATTAACAACAGGTATTTGAAAAGAAAACAGTAGGCAGTTAAGGAGCTGTTCTTGGAGTATGATTTATGAAGGTTTCCATGACAAGACCATGGTTTTGATGAGAAAACAGTACACATTTCATGAAACTCAACTACATGGGTGTTTTAATAAACAAGTTGCTTTTGACCAATAGATGCTATTCATAGACCTAAAGCATCCTTGAGAATAAACAGTCAAAGCGAAATACCAGAGTGATATAGAGGCAGCCCCAAGGTACACTCTGACAAAATAAGCTTTTTGTGTTCCCCATTTTATATGTCACCTAAACCACAGGTAACCCCTTCATTTATATATATGGAGGTATCAATTTATCAGCCTCAAGCCATGCCTTCCACAAAGTACCCAGTTATTTTAGTAAGTATAGCTATTAAATATTTGATATATTAAAAATTAAAAAGTCTCATAATACTGTATTTGGAATATTAAGGCACACAAAAAGAAAGGGTTTAGAGTTATAGTTTACCACTATGGTCTAAGAATTATTCAGTCATTAAAAAGGCATAGGTCCATAGAACTGTTGCTAGAATATATTTAATATGACAATGATCTAGTGCCACTTAGGAGTATATAATTTGCACAGTACTTGTTTCTGGTGATAATTGTTTACAATTACTTCACTGTTTTATTTTCTACTCTATTTGATTTGAGCTCTGGTTTTCTTTCCTGAGAGCCTTTCGGGTAATCAGCCACTTTAAACCAATCTTCGCACGAGGTGTTGTGGTAAGGAATTTATCCCTTACTCTTATCAACCACAAGGCACAAAATACTCACCAGGAACTAGCTAAACTCAGCCTAGGCTTCAACTGTCCTCTGCTTTCGCCATATTATTCATCTGCTGTCTTCCACTCCAATGAAGCAGTTATAGCCTAAACCAGGTGCACCCACTAGAATAACTTGATTGGGAAGATTATATCTAAACAAGGATCAGCTATTAAATTTCATCAAGCCATATTTTTGCTCTATTTCATAGAAACAGCAGGTGAGTTAGACTGGTTGCTTGCTAAAGAAAAACACATTTAGAAGGCTTAAACCTCAAGAAAGCATAGATACAGAAGTGTCGTTGATGATAAAAATCTAACCTGTAGGACATTTCTACAGTTATAATCTAAATGATTGAAACGAACATTACTATTTTAGGTTTAACACAGAGGACTTTGTACCTCAAGGGGTAGTTTTGAATCCCCAAGACAGTACCCAGCACCACTGAAAAATGTCTCTACACATTACGTAGCTACATGGAATCTGAGGAAAATATTTAGAACATACGTCTTCAGCAATGGCTTCTCGGCTGCTGCAAATACATCAAAATGACTACGCTTGGGCAAAATGGGAGAAAGGAAGGGAAGTGACAGTTTTAAGAAGATTAAAAAACCAACCAACTTTTAGGAAGATTAAAAAAGAGAGAGCCAGGAGGATCATTTATAAAAAGGAGGATGTAAATTCTTTACAACCTGATTGTTTTTCCCTGGAATTTACTTGCTTTAATGAAACTGTTATTCCTGAAGGACTGAAAGCTTTCTTTTTTTTTAAGGTGAATACAGCAGTGCTGAGGGTTGGCATATTGTTAGTCTCTGACCTCAGGAGACTATCCCTGAAGACCTAATTAGGTTACAAACATGTGAAAATAAGTTTAGCATTCCTTGTGCAGGGGGCTCTAAGGGGATTTCAGAATGCTGGATAGTTAACACTTCCCAGAGTGTTCCCTTTGCAAACTCTACATATCACAATGTTTCTGCCTTTTATACCACAACTAAGTTATCATCAAAGAGTCATTTTAACCGGGTGACCTTTTCTGCAGTGAAAACATTAGAAATGCCTTGGGGTTTTCATTGACTTTCCTTATGATAGAGTTAGTGACCAAATTTGCACATTTTCTTAAGTTTTTTAAAAATACTTTTCTGCCAAATAAAGTAACAAGTCTGATTTACTTCTAAAAAATCAATCAGTCCAAGGAAGTAAAGAGTAAACTTAACCTCAAAATAGGGTTTCAGTTTTATGAACCAGAGGTTTGCTTGCTAGCAGCCTCTAATGGTGAGCTGATGATAACCCACTATTAGCACAAGGCAGAGGTAACACATGAGACTGAAAAGAGAATGGATTTAGGAGGCAGAGGAATAAGCCACTCAAATTTTCTGAACATTTTCTTAAGTATGCAATGGAAATAATAGTATGTACCTCATATCACAGTCCCTGTAATTAAATGAGATAACATAAGAGAAAGCATTTTGTCCAAGAGAAATTACTGCACAAATAAAAGTTATTTTTATTTGTTCAGAACCCTAGAAATTTCCCTGTGGTCAGTACAAGCGTTACTAGCAACTAAAAAAATAATTGCAGTATTGAATAATGCAATCAAGATTTTATTACAATTCAATCAATCATAGTCAGAAAGAGAGCACTTAATAATATTGGCCACCCAGATTAAAATGCATGCCTTTACCCACATAAATGTATGTCATTACCCTCCAGGAAATGTGAGTAGTAGCCACTATTGGAAATTCCTCTACTAAAGGGTGATCTCCTCATAATAGGTGTAGCATTACAGTTCAATTGGTCAGATGATTCAGTATATAAAAATGCTATTACAGAGCTGATATTTGGACACATAGGTAATCTAGACTATAAATTTCACAAGGACAGGGATCTTTGTCTATTTTGTTCACTATCTATCTCAATATCTTGGACAATTACTTATACACACTATGGACTAAATACATATTTATTGATTATGAGAGTAAAATAAAAAACTCTGAAATTCCATAAGTCATTTTGGACCTCAATTTTCTAGATCTTTGGAGGCACTGCAGACTTCAATAATTCAGTTCAGTAGCCACAGCTAGTTAGCCTACAGTGAGTTCATTCTCTCTTTGCTTGGACTAGCTTGATAACACCTTAAGGAGAGAGTTTCTGTTCTGTGCAGCGTTCTAGACAGGCCCCTCAGAGGTAGCTCTGTTCTCCTCTGCCAATCCCTGGTCTATTCCTTTATAGCTTAGTTAATCATGGACTCTACTTTGCCAGCTGAGCTCATTTCTGCACAAGAACAGAACTGGCTCTAGAGGGCTGAGTAAATGTTCTTTAAAAGGCAGGTGATACCTAGTATACACTGAGGTTTTAAATCTGTTCAGTAGATAATGTTAATAAAAAAAAATTAATCAGCTGGGTGTGGTGGCTCACGCTTATAATCCCAGCACTTTAGGAGGCCAAGGTGGGTGGATTGCTTGAGCTCAGGAGTTCGAGAGCAGCCTGGGCAACATGGCAAAACCCCAACTCTACAAAAAATACAAAAAATAGCCAGGCATGGTGGCACTTGCCTGTAGTCCCAGCTACTCAGAAGGCTGAGGCAGAAGAATCTCTTGAGCCTGGGAGGTGGAGGTTTCAGTGAGCCAAGATCATGCCATTATATTCCAGCCTGGGACACAGAGCAAGACCCTGTCTTAAAAAAGGAAAGGAGAGGAAAGGAGAGGAGAGAAGAGGAGAGGGGAGGGGAGGGGAGGGGAGGGGAGGGGAGGGGAGGGGAGGGGGAGGCAAAAGAAAAAAAAGAAAGTTAATTTAAAAAGTGTATAAGGTAACTACTACGTACAAAATAGTTGGACCTATGTATGTAATAGAAGATACAGCCCATTTGAAGAAGCTTAACACTTCACTGGATAGATATAATCTATGCAGATGACATTTCCTGCACACACACACATACAAATGGCAATAGAGATTATTATGTTGGGCTGGACTTTAAGGTAGAAATGGGATTTCAGCTGCTTCTGGAGAATGCTTTTAATATGAAAAAGGAATGAAAAGTGCATCCTAGGAAAGGATAACATAATATGCAAAGACAGAAAGTGAAAAATTACAAGGTACATTTGGTAAAATATAAGAAGAATCACTGGAATAAGGCAGTTTAAGAAAGTATAGCAAGAGTTAAGGCTAAAAAATGGTATCATTTAAATTAATGTCATTTTGACCTGACGTGGTGTAGCAGAAAGCATCCAGGAGCCAGACTGTGACACAGATCTCCGAATGGGGCAAAAATCAGTGTGGCAACCTGCAAGGAACTAGAACAGGACATTTCAAATTAATAGTGTTGAAATCTATTTTTTAAGCACTGAACTGACCAAAAATATTAGATCTTCCTGCAAGCCACCATCTTGCAACCTGTAATAAAGAACAAACAAAATAGATAAAAATGAGCACAGTTTGAAATAAACCAGATAGAAGTGCTTGGTAAAATGAGATCTCACATGTATGCATTTATACATATAAACTCAAGCTCTCCCTGTTATGAAAAACAGGACTTAAAAATCACCTTCCCACAACCAAAGTTATTATTTTAGGCAGATGTTCCCATGTTCCCCAAATCTTAGTATGCTAGGGAGCAGTGGTTCTCAAACTTTATCATCCATCAGGATCACCTGCAGAGCCTGTGAAAGCAGACTGTTGAACCCCATTTCCCGAGTTTCATATTCATTTTGTCTAGGTGGAGCTTGAGAATTTGGTTTTGTAACAAGTTGACAAACTGACGCTGATGCGCCTGCTCTGAAGACTACACTTTGAGAATCAAGGCTCTACATCAGCCCACCATTTGGGCTCACTGTTAATTATAATTTATCTTGTAAGGGATATCAACAAATAACATTTTGCAAACCTAAGTGTCCTTTAGACGATTCATACATATTGTTCTTTCTTGGTTGAGATATAACTTAGGTTAAACTTACTTATAAGTTTAACCTAAGTATAAGAATTGAAAATATATTTTAAGAAGAACATTAGACTTGGCAAGTGGAAGTGGAAAGGCCGTCTCTTCCAGGACACATACTTATTAAGTCCTCAATTTTCACCACATAAAAAATCTTCCACCCAGCTTGGCTGCACTTAAAACATATTATTTAGATTTAATTTGCAATTTAGAACAGCTGCATTCTAGGTCTCTGCCAGGTAGTTTAGTCTTCACCCAATATCTATCTTTAAAAAGGTGAAATAAATTACATTTGCCAAGCATTGTCTGAAAAATATGCAGACCTCACGTTCATCTCTAGGTAATTTGTGCGTTAATGACATAGCAGTACATTGTTGTCAATTGTGGAATATATTGGAGGCTATTTATTAGTAGTAGAATTAAAAGAGTGAAATTTGCAAATGATTTATTTAAAGTAAATAATTAGAGCAGACATAGGGTTATTCTTCCAACATCATTGTGGCTAGCTTGCATACTGAAATGTGTTTTTCAAGTGGGAGAAAAAGCATGAAGATGCCTGAAGTCTGTCTTATATGTGTCTTTAGCAGTGTATCTGCCATGAAAGCATCATCTGTCAAGTATCAAAAACACTGACACTGTCACATAGATGCTCTTAAATATGTCCCTCATCAGAATCACCTGAAATGCTTGTTAAAATGCATATTCTAGGGTTGCCTTTGGACCTATGAATGAGAACCTCCTGGGGAGGTAGGGTCTGGGAGTCCACACATTAATGAGCTACCCAGCTGCTCCTAATACCCATTAATATTTGAGAACTGTTCTTTCTAGACCCACAATTCTAGGCCCCTACAGGACTTCACAAGAAAATGACATCTTTATCCTACATTGCAGGCCTTTAGAAGAAATCATTTGGCTGCTCTACTTCTGCAGCTGCTTTAAAAATACGAAGAGGGAGTTTTTTATTATATTATACATAATCTTATTTACAATGATCTCAGGGAAAAAGTTTCTATTTTAAGTAGTAATAAATTTTATCTTCTTGGTCTGCTCGTGGTTAACTATTATAAGCCATATTCTCATAGCAGATGGATCCTTATGTAGGACTGTAAGAAAGCTTGGAGCCAAATGTATGTTCCATGCTTGATGAAGAGGACTCTGGTGGACGTCTCTGTAAGGGCCTCCTTTCTACCTTTGCTTCATAGCCCTGGAATTGTTTTTGTCCATTTGTTTTCCTCTTTCATCTTCTGTTTTCTGTTCTACCTTTTTATTTTATGTATCCCTTATATGCAATCTTAGATATCTGGTGGAGCCAAGTAGTGAATAAACCTCTGGGAATGTGTATATATTGAAATTTTACAAATGGTATACACAAAGATATTTTTCATTAGGAAACAAAAATATTATTTCGGAAAGATATGAGTAATCCTCATCTAACATAAACTCAATAATAGTCTGGTTTTTCTTATGATTTATTTTTAAATGCATAATAATGGTAGAGGATATTAGAAATGACCTTCTGAGATTGTGAACAGACCTCTGCGTGTGTGTCTTCTTCTTTTTTCTAAACTACAACAGGACATTTTCAAACTAATATGTTGAACTCTGTTTTTTAAGCACTAAATTGACCAAAAAAAATTAGATCTTTCTGCAAGCCACCATTTTGCAGGAAGTGCATTTTGTTTGGGTGCTGTGATCACTTCCCCTTCTGTCTTTGCTTTGGATTAAAAAAAAAAAAAAAGAGTTACAACTGTTAAGGAGGCCTGATACAGGCAGGGAAGTAAACCAAATCTAAAAGTGTTGAAGGAAAAGCAAATTGTTCTTGAAATAGTCTGTGTCTACACGTAACTAGCATGAGATCCCTGAACCTGACCTTCTCTTTTTTAATGCTAGCCAGTCTGCACATGCATGTGTAATATTGCCTGAAAAAACTTAGCTATTTTGGTTGGGCTTCCTGCTGCTTTCAACAAAAGAAATTGATATGAGAGAATAAAATCCCAGATATTAGTGAAGGGTCAGTACTGCAGAGAATGGGCTGTAGTCTAAATCTGCCTTGACACTGTCATCAGAGAAAGGACAATACTCCAAGAGGGGAAACTACTTTTGTCTGGCAAATATTTGACTAAAAAGGATGAAGTAGCCAGAAGGACTTAGGAGTAAAGTTTGTATTAGGGGAAAAGTAGGACAACCACAATGCATTGCTCTGAGTGGTAAGGGGGTGAGGACAGACTTGGCTGATAGGAGAAGTGATTTTTTAAAATCAACTATCCACTAATATAATCTTACATGTAAGTAATCTAGAGTAACCTTGCTGAAGGCTCTTAGTTGGTGAGAAAGTGCAGTAAACCACAGACTCAGTGTGTGATCCGAAAACATCCCTCTACAACAAGGTAGAACACTATTAGAAGTCATTGCATCCTAAATCTAATTCCCAATCTGAATAAATTTCAGGTTTCTATCACTTTCTTGTCTATAAAGTTAAGCAAAAGAATCATAGAATCTAGACTTAGTTATGTACAACCGATATATAGTTCAGTGGTAAACAACAAGCATGAAGTCTTTAAAAATATGGATGCAGGAGTAATGGTAATCAAAGGATTACACACTAGAAAGGAACAATGTTAATACATATGACTAGAATTTTTCTATAGTTTAAGTAGTTGTGTAACTGGAGGGGTTTGCCCAAGTTTTAGACCGTTAGAAATAAACTACCCTTTAATTTGAAATTAAGTATTGATTTGACTTAATAGTAATTGCCAATTTCTCTACTTTAGATTGACTTTATACAATTCACAATCACCATCTCTGTCTCAAATTTCCTTCTAATGAAATGAGGGCAGTAATTTATGTCATATATCTTTATGTTCCTCCTAGCTGTGTGATAACATATATTTCAAGCACAGGTGCATGTTTCTATGTGATTCATGAACATAAATATTAAAATTCTAATTTCCTGTTTATAATATGCCAGGTCTGCCTGTTATTTACTAACACATTTATTGTTTCTACTCTCCTCCTGCCGACACAAACACTAGAATAGATACATCTATACAATCAGGGACTTTAACCATCCTGTTAACTGTGAAATCACCAGTGCCTAGAATAGTAGCTGGGGCATAAAAGATACTCCATAAATATTTCTTGAATAAATTAATAGGAAGTCAGCAGTTGGAACACATATAAACCAGATTCTACTGCTGTTGGCAGTGATTGAAATCTATGAGATAAAGAATAATGTGTGTGTGTGTGTGTGTGTGTGTGTGTAACAAGCTGAGGAAGGGATCAAAGGAGACAGTTGTCAATCAGACTTTATTCCCCTATCAGAATTTAATTCTTTAATAACTGAGAATTACTAATATGTCCAAGAACACTTGTTCTCTAGCTTCATTTTGTTGAATTTCACACTGAAGAAACAGACAAACAAAACTGATTGGTTGTGTGTATCCCTAATACATTTTCTCAAACTATTTCCCCCAACTCTCTCCTTGACCCTGACATAATCCATTATTGACACTTCATGAGTTTTAGCTACCTCTTGTTTTGCCAGGCTCTTCTAACCCATCTTTGGCTGTCACTTCTACTAAACAAGAAGCGCAGGCAAGAGGACTCTCTGAGGAGCCACCTGTCAGAGCTGTCCATTTGGACATCTTTGGTGAAGTCTGAGAGCAAACGCTGAAGGAAAATGCTAACAGAATGCTGTGAGGGAAGGCTGAGTTCTCTCCATCTCAAATCTAAATTCATGCTGTAGAATACAAACTATCATTAAAATCAAATATTGAACCCTGATTGATTAAGACCTTAAGAAATATTGTCAGAAGAGTTTCCAGAACTTGAATAATGTCTAGCCCCACATTGCAACCCTCCTTGGGAACTCCCCTTGCCTTGTATTAAAAACACACACTTTTCTTTATCAATTTCTAATGTAACTAGATCATTGCAACCAGAATAAATAATGCAATAGATAAAAAGCACCCTTTCCCCATACTTCACAGCACCCAAAACAAGACTAAGCCTGTGCCATATGTTAAATTTCATTTAATCATTTTGCATTATGTAATGGAGTTGCAAAGCAAAGATATTTTGTGATTACTAATTAGTTTCATGATTATTAAACTGATCAAATGACCTAAATAACAAAACTGAATAAGTCAAAATAATATGTGCTGTTTCTAGTACATACACACTAATTAAATCAATATAATGTTAAAAAAAGAAATCTGGGCATATTCTGGATGAGAAAAAAAGCATTACAGTGAGAATCCTACCCTTCATTAGAATGGGTCATGTGCCTATGGTCCTCCTAAACCTTCTGGCCCCAACAGAGTCTCAGCTTCACTATCTGCTTTGAGTCTCTATGATTAATCTCATTATATTCTTTATTGCCACTTAAGAACTACAAGAAGCCTAGGAATTTTGAGTACCCACTCATTTCCTTTACCCTAATTTTCCTAAGACTACATATCCTACATTCTGTCCTCATCTCCTAACATTCTCACTACCAAAAACCTTCCACTGTGCCTTCTAGAATTCATGACTGCTCAACACAAAGAAATGCATTCTCGAATTCTTCTCTCAATGTTCCTTTCATCTTCTTACTGTAAAGTTACTGCTTCTCTAAAGCCCTCCAAATTAGTAAAATCTCAGCTCCAATCCCTTATCATTGATTTTACTACCCATTCCCCTTTTACTTCCTCGTTTTTGCCATCCTCCTTGGGTCACTCACCATCACAGTTGCAGTTTTGGCTCTCTGTAACACTCTCCAACCTCACTTCAGTATGACATCACGGGACATTAAATATCCATTTAGATGATTCTCTTCGTATTCCAGCTTCACAGTTTCTTGAACTCCTCTTCTCTCATAGTTCAGTCCTTGGGAAACTTCTTCTTCTAGGCAATTGATTACATCCTGTCTCTTCTACATAAGGACATGGCTTCAGTGAAAACTCCTTCTTCCTTGCCTGAACAATATTCCTCTCTTAGGAGATAACTGCCATCAGCATACAAACATTGAACTCTCTGAAAGTCCACTCTTGACTCCAATTCCCTTCTATCTGCCACCCCATTTCTCTTCTCTAATTTATTGCAAAACTTGTATTAATTGGTCCATACCTGAAATTTTTAACTTTTTCCATTTCCTCTTTTATTTTATCTAAACAGACTTACTACTTCACTGAAAGTGCTCTTGTCAAGGTCATCAGTGACCTCCAAGTTGTTAAATTTAATGATCAATATGCAGTTCTGAACTTACTACGCCTATGAGAACATTTGACCCAGTTGACCACACCCTCATCCTTACATTCTTCTTGTTAGTTTCCAAGACTTCATTCTTCTTGTTTTCCTCTTATTTCTCTGGTCTATCCTACAGTCTGTTTGCTGGCTTCTCCTCATTGTCCGGCCTTTTGTATGACCTTGGGTCCATACCTAAACTTCTATTTCTCTTCCCTGTTAATACTTCCTCCCTTGGTGATCCAATTCTGTCATGCATATTCTGATGATTCTCTAATTAATGTCTTGAGTCTAGACCTCTCTGCTAAACTCCTGAACGCCCAATTCATGTATCTAACAGCCTACTCAATACCTCCAGTAGGATATCTATTAGTAAATTAACTTAAGCATGTGCAAAAATGAACACGAACCCCTGGCCTTGTTCACTACCTTTCTGCAGCCCCTTGCAGCCTACCCCTCCCCTCATGTGCCTTCATTGTAATTAATTCTTTCAGCTCCTCAGACCAAAAATGTTGGCCTCCAAAATCACCTTCACCTTTCCTCTTTCTCCCACATCTCACATTAAATCTGTCAGGAAATCCTCTTGCATCTACTTTCAAAATGTATCCCTGACTTAACCTTTCTGTTTTGCCACCTTGCCTGCTACCTCTCTGATCCAATCCACTATCATCTCTTGCTTGGAATATTGCAATAGCTTTTTAACGAGTCTCCCTGCTTTCACACGCATCTCTCGTATAGCATATTTTTATAAAAAGGAAGACATTATCATTTAAAAACTTCAGCTGGCAGTCACTCCTCTGTTCCTATCCTTGCCATGCTTTTCTTTGTAACTCAGGGTGGAGCCAGGTAGGGTGGTTGACTCTCTCTGCACTCTAGTTTCTCAATTATTCTATGCTTCAGTTCCTACTACTCTCCCCATCCATCATGCTATTGCATCTATTGGCCTCCCTATGTTTCTCAAACAAGACAAGCACGCTCCCAGGTCATGGCCTGTGCGTTTGCTGTTATATCCGTTTGGAACACTCTTTACACACAGGTCTTCTCTCTGATCATGGGCTTCTCTCAGATCAGTGAGGCCATCCTTGATCATTCTATTTCAAATTGTCTCCATATCCCCACCCCATCTCCAGTTTCTCTTCCCTGCTTTATTTTTCTGCGCTCATTTACCAGCTTCTCATATACAATATAACTTATTTATAATTTGTTTGTTTATCTCTCTCTAGAAAAAGGGCAGAAATTTTGGTCTTTTTCCTTTCTTTACCCTAGCCAAAGCATCAAAAATAGTGCTTAGCATATAGTAAGTAATCAATATGTATTAAATATATGTGTGCATGAATGAATGAATACGTGAATGCATGAACAAATTAATGAATATTATTTGGCAGTTTCAACTCAGGAGCCAGGATGTAAATGATGACTGATACCAAAGCCTATTATGAGAGGTTCTATACAGCAAAAATCTCCAGATAGATTCTCAGAATCAGTAGGGCAACTCATAAACATCAAATGAATAAAAGTTTTTGGAGATAGAAGGAATTCATGAAAAAGGCCTTTTGGAGGGAACTGTCCTGAGATTAGTGTCTTCTCTATACAACAGGGAAGCATGAGAAGGATACAGTACGTTTCCTCTGAAGTCGAAAGAGAAGAACATCAACAGGATTACTCACAGAAGTTGCTCTGCAACCTCTAAGTTTGGGAACCTGATAAATATAAAGTGATTGTAGCTATTTTTCTGAGGAATGATACTGTGTCCAGAATTTATTCCTTCCGGTGGGTTCTTGGTCTCACTGACTTCAAGAATGAAGCCGCGGACCTTCACGGTGAGTGTTACAGCTCTTAAAGATGGTGTGTCCAGACTTTGTTCCTTCCAGTGGGTTTGTGGTCTTACCGACTCCAGGAATGAAGCCGCAGACCCTCGCAGTGAGTGTTACAGCTCTTAAGGGTGGCATGTCTGGAGGTGTTTGTTTCTCCTGGTGGGTTTGTGGTCTCACTGACTTCAGGAATGAAGCTACAGAGTCTTGTGGTGAGCGTTACAGCTCATAGAGCTAGTGTGGACCCAAAGAGTGAGCAGCAGCAAGATTTATTATGAAGAGCCAAAGAACAAAGCTTCCACAGCATGGAAGGAGACCCAAGCGGTTGCCACTGCTGGCTGGGGTGGCCAGCTTTTATTCCGTTATTTGTTCCCACCCACGTCCTGCTGATTGGTCCATTTTACAGAGTGCTGATTGGTCCATTTTACAGAGTGCTAATTGGTACGTTTACAATCCTTTAGCTAGACACAGAGCACTGATTGGTGCATTTTTACAGAGTGCTGGTTGGTGAGTTTACAATCCTCTAGCTAGACAGAAAAGTTCTCCAAGTCCCCACTGGACCCAGGAAGTCCAGCTGGATTCACCTCACAATACTTTATGATCGTCTTTGTGAAATCACTTAGACAAAAAAGAAAAAGAAACAGGCTAAGGCAGTAGCATCCACCTGGAAGAAAATGCACTGCCGTGTCTAAGGAGTCAAAGCAAGTTTAATTTTTCTAGTAGGATTCTCTGAAAAATCTATGAAAGCACCCACAGGAAAGTAAACTCTAAATACCAGAGAGACCCAAAGAGCCAAAGGCCCCCAAACATCACACAAGCCAAGGGAAACAAATTCCTATCCCACTGACCTCTCTTCCTTTCCCTGACTCTGATGCTGGTAGGCTCTGCATAGTAAGAAGGGGGAAGAGGAGGCCTTCCCCGGCACAGTGGCTCATGCCTGTAATCCTAGCACTTTGGGAGCCCTAGGCAGGCGGATCACGAGGTCAGGAGATCGAGAACATCCTGGCTAAGATGGCGAAACCTCGTCTCTACTAAAAATACAAAAAATTAGCCCGGCATGGTGGCACACGCCTATAGTCCCAGCTACTCAGGAGGCTGAGGCAGGAGAATCGCTTGAGCCCGGGAGGCGGAGGTTGCAGTGAGCAGAGTTCTCACCACTGCACTCCAGCCTGGGTGACAAAGCGAGACTCCATCTCAAAAAAAAAAAAAAATGTGGAGGAGGGAAGAGGGGGACACATTGTGTGAAGAGAGAGAAGAGAAAAACTCCTAGAAACACACAAGTTAATGGAAATACCTGCAACAGGACCCAAATTAAGAAGGACAAAGATAGAATGTAAGGTCAGGGCCAGAGTCTGAGTTTTCTTTGGGACTGCAAAAATGTCTGTATAAATTAAAGCTGTTTTTGAATTTGTGACCATAAGATTTTAGCCAGGAGTGACCAGAGGAGTCCTGGGGACCTGATGCATATGCATTCAGAGACCAAGGTAGGGATGGAACAGTCCTATTTAGCAGGTTTAAACATACACTGGGGAACACATAAGTTTGCCTTCATGCGTAGACCTGTGTCAGGCTCATTCAACATTTATTATCAAATAATACAAACACGCAAGCAGAACATCTACTTCAGTACAAGATTGTCCTTGAAAACAGCAATGTTCATCCTCTAACCTTGACCTTCTGACAGTCCTGTACTCTCATATCTCATTATCACCATGGAAATAAGCAGAATTCATCAAGAATACCAGTTTAGCTTCCAGGTTACGGAAATATCACAGTCCTTTATTTTTGTCTCCTTTGTTATAATTTATACTATAATTTATATTTTAGGACATGAGAATAGAAAATTAACTGCATATAGTCATTTTTGTAAAATAAATTTTAAGTAATTGACTGATGGGATAGTAAACAAACAGTATGATGGTGTACTCAAGCTCAAATATGTCATAATAAAATAAGTAGAACTGAAATACATATTTAAATTAAAAGATAATACTTGTGAGACTGAGATAAAAAAAAACAACTGAAGGCAACTTACAAGAGACACACCCTAAATATAAGAATATGAAATGGTTGCAAATTAAAGGATGGAAAGATTTATATTATGAAAACACTAACCAAAAGAAAGTTGGTGAACCTCAAAGTGATTTTTTAGGTCAAGAAATTTCCTAGAGTGAAAGAGGGGTAATCCATAATGATAAAAGGAAAATATAATCATTTAAAATTTATATACCCGTAAATGTATAGCCTGAAAATACAAAAAGGAAAAATTGGCAGAAATCAAAATAGAAATAGGCAGATACACGATAACAGTGGGAGATTTTAATATCTGCTTAGTAATTCATAGATCAAGCAGACAGCCAATCAGTAAAAATACAAAAATATTTGAACAATATGACTAACAAACACTTTTTTATAAAAACAGACAAACATTTAGGAAAATTGACAAAAATAAATGTAAAATTCATATGAGTATGCATGGGACAAAGAATAGCAAGGATGACTTTAAAGAAGAACAAATTTGGGATACCTACAAATTTTGCATCAAAAATATTATAAAATATAATATATAAGACAGTGTTACATTAATGCACAGAGAACAATGAGAGCATTGAAAAACAATCAAGAATCCAGAAAAAAAAATAGCACATAGCTAGTCATCTGACTTATGATAAAAATGGCATTATGTGGAAGTGAGGAAAAGATAGTATTTTTAGTAAATTATACTGGGTCAATTTATTATCCACGTGGAAAAATATGTCTTAATTTCTGTCTCACTCCATATACAAAATCAATTCCAAGTGCATTGTAAATCTAACTGTAAAAAGTAAACCAATACATGTACTAGAATGTAACAAAGAAGGATATCTTAATGCCTTTCACCTAGGCAAACATTGGGCTACATTAAAGAAATTCTGTTTTACCACTGCATGTTCTCACTCATAAGTAGGAGTTCAACAAGAAAACACATGGACGCAGGGAGGGGAACATTACACACCTGGACTTGTCGGTTTGGGGTATGGGGGGCAAGGACAGGGAGAGCATTAGTACAAATACCTAATGCATGGGGGGTTTAAAACCTAGATGATGGTTTGATAGGTGCAGCAAACCACCATGGCATGTGTATACCTATGTAACAAACCTGCATGTTCTGCACATGTATCCCAAAACTTAAAGTAAAACTAAAAAAAAAAAAAAAAAAAAAAGAATTAAAAAAAAGAAATTGTGTTTTACAAAAGGCATTACTAAGAGTAAAATGGCAAGTCATATAGTGGTAGAAGACACTTGTAATATCTACCTGATAAGTGATTCACCAAATATATAAAGATCCACTATAAACCAATGAGAGGAAGATATAAAACAAAATTGAAAACAAAATGGCAAAGGACTTGATCAATTTCTTCAAAAAGAAGACATCAAAATGGTGAATAATTGTGTAAAAAGCTAGTAATAATGAAGATAAAATAAATGTAACTTAAAACCAAATGAGATTTCACAACGTAATCAATAGAAATGCTTAAAAACAAACAAATTCCTTGTAGAAAGTGCTAAGAGGACAGGAAGCCCCTGGAAGGTACTGGTGTGAGAGTAAGTTGACAAATCACTTTAGAAATTGTTTTAAAGTATCCACTGAAGTACAACTTATGCATACTCTCATTTTCCTAGGTATATACTTAACAGATACACATATGAGTCCCAAAAGACAAGATCAAGAGTGACCACAGAATCATAATTTGCAAGTACCCAAAAACTGAAACAACACAAATTGTCCATTGACTGTAGTGGTGTAGATAAATAGTCATTTGGCATAAGTGAACCTTCCAAACCCAATACTGAGAAAAAGAAATCAGGCACAGAATAATGCATTTAGTATGAATGTGTTCATATACATTTCAAATGGATTGCATTGGAAATTAGGACAGTGTTTTTCAATAGGGTGTGGCCAGTAGGGTGCATGAAGGTGTTTCGTGTGTGCTGGTGGTATTCAGTCTCTCCTGACTGTAAGTTACAGGATATGTGCATTATGTGAAACCGCATCAAGTTATTCGGTTGGTGCAACAGTAATTGAGGTTTTGCCTTTTTTAAAAATATATATCTACAATTTGTGAGATTTTTGTTCATATTTGAATAACATTATTTGTTTTAGAATATTTGTATTACAACAAAACAGAAACCTAAATAGTAAAAGTAATAAATAGACAAAAGAGGAAAGAGTATATAACAACTTTTGTCATACAATTTGACTGGCTTACTTTTATTAGCATTATTATTTTAATCAGAAGGAAAATCCATTGAGCTGTTCTCCTATATTTAATGATCCATCAACTTATTGTCCTACAGAGATTTTCATAAAAATCCTATTGATATAAATATTAATATATGATATATAATATTTCATAATATATTATATATATCTGGTATATAATAAATCATATATATTATATTATATATTATTATATCAATAATTATATGATATATTATTACATATATATCATATGTAATATATGATATATGATAAATGATATTAATATAAATATTATCTATGACTTTCTGGAACATATTTTTTTCCACTATTTGAACTTAAGCTTACTATAGATATGAGACATAATCTCAGATTACACAATTTCTAACTGATATCTAGTTAGTAAAAGAAAAATGTCTATATCTGGAATAATGTTTATCTGAACTTAAATCATGTCAAATTTCTTAGGATCCAATTAAAGTAAAAGTACTCTTAGTAACGTAATTGTTTAAAAGTACTTATGCCTATAAATATTCTTTTATTTAAAAAATTATTTTAATTATAAATTTTCTATTCAAAAGAATTTCAAACACTTCACAAGTTTATAATGTAAAATATATTTTAAAAATATAACTATATAAAAACTTATTTCTATTTTTAACTTTATTTTTACTTTTGCATTTATTCTTTTTTTTATAATGAGATTCTCCTGGAGTAAAGGCACTGTTTCATAACTTGGCTTTTGTCACTTAACAATATGGCTTAGACAGTCACAGAAGAACAAATACTACATGATACTACTTAAATGAGGTGTCTAAAATTGTCAAACTCATAGAAGCAGAAAATAGAATGGTGGTTGCCATTGGCAGGGGCAGTCATTCTTCAATAGGTATAAAGTTTCTATTATACAAGATAAATAAGTTCTAGAGATTTGCTGTTCAACATAGTACAATACAGTATCGTGCACTTTAAATCTGAGAAGGTAAGATCTCATGTTAAGTGTTCTTACCAAAATACATACACATGCACACACACACACGCATAAAAGAACACATTGAATTTGTTGAAGTGATGGACATGTTTAGTACCTTGGCTGTGGTGATAGTACCATGGTGTATGCCTATATCCAAACTGATCAAGATGTATACATTAATTGTGTGCAATTTTGTGTACATCAATTATTCCTTAATAAGCTAAAACATATTTAATTTTAAAAAACGAACACAGCTAATGTACTTTCCTTCTCAGTACATAATTCTACCTCTTTCTCTCCAACAATTGCACCAAATTCCTAGATACATTGAACTGTATTTGTTTAATGGTAAATTAGAATTGAGGGAGCTTTCAATATTCACTAATACAGTTCTTCAGGGAACATTCTTATGTATGAATTTTTAAACACTTGTGCAAATATGTCTATGGAACAGATTTATAAAGAAAACTTTCAGGAATTTTTGTTCAGGGTTTGTGCCCTTTAAGCTTTGGTGGGTAATACCAAACTGCTCTCTGGCTTAATTCCAATAGCCTATTTACCAGTGAAGATTATGAAGCTTCTAAAATGGGTCTCGATGATCCCTGCATCCCAATATTCATATACTGCGTAATCCCCTTTCCGTGAGTGTGGACTAGATTTACGGACTGGCTTTTAACAAATAGAATATCTCAGTGATGGGATGCTATAAATAGACTGTGGCTTCCAAATTTCTTTCTTCCTCCCTCTCTCTCTCTTTCCCCCATCCTTTTTCTCTCTCACATACACATATAGGCATGCATACAGACATTCTCATTCTCTTTCTCTCTCTCCCCCCACCCCTCCCTTTTCTCACACAGACACATTCTCTTTGTCTCTCACCCTTGCCCCCTCCTCTGTGTCTCTCACACACATTCTCTCTCCCTCCTTCCCTCTCTCTCACACACAGATGCATACATACACACGTTTTCATTCTCTTTCCCTTTCTCTCTCTCCCCTCCTCATCTCTCTTCCTCTCTCTCTCTCACACACTTTCTCTCTCCCTCCTTCTCTCACACACACATTCTCTCTCTCCCCCTTTTTCTCACTCATCTCTCTCTCCTCTGTCATCTCTCCCCCCAACACACACGCATTTTCTCTCTCTTTCCTTGGCTTCCTCTCTCTTTCACACACACACATATACACACACACGTGCATAATCTCATTCTCATTCTCTCTCTCCTCCTCTCCTTCTTGCTCACACACACACATACACACACTTACACACTCTTTCATTCTCTCTCTCCCTCTACCCTTCCCATCTCTCCTTCTCTCTTTCTTCCTCACACATTCTCTCTCGCCCCTCCTCTTTCACACTCACATTCTCTCTCTCACTTTCTCTCCCTCCCTCTTTCCTCACTCCCTCTTTCACACACACACATAATCTCACTCTCATTCTTTCTCCCCCTCCTTCTCAGTCACACACATGCACACAGATACATACACACATTCTCACTCTCTCTCTCTCCGCCTTCCCCAACTTTCTTCCTCTCTCTCTCACAAACACACATCTCCTTTCCGTCTCCCTCCTTCTCTTCCCGTCTCTCTCTGCCTCTCTGTCACACACACATACACACTTTCTCATTATTTCTCTCTCTCACACACACAGATACATACATTCTCATTCTCTTTCTCTCACACACACACATTCTCTTTCACACACAAACACACACACACATTCTCTTTCTCCCTCTCCTTCTCTCTTCCTTCCTCTCATGCTGGGGGAATCAAGATGGCTATATTGTGAGCTGCCCTATAGAGAGGCCCATGTGGCATGGCACACCCAAGGAACTGAGACACTCAGTCCAGCCTTTCACAAGAAGCTGCAGCCTCACCAACACCAGGTGAGTGAGCTTAGAAATGGGTCATCCAGATCCAGGCGAGTCCTGATGACTGCAGCCCCAGCCAACAGCTTGACTATAATCTGATGAGAGGCCTTGAGTGAGGAACACCCAGCCAAACACCTCTCAGACTCCTGATCCACAGAAACAATGAGGTAATAAACATTCGTTGCTTAAAGCTGTTAATTTAGGGGTAATTTGTCACATAGTAAATTATAACCAGAACACCTTGCCAGCCCTTAATTATTTATCATTTATTTATATTTTTGCTAATCTAATGTGAGTACTACCAATGTTGACATCTGTATTTGTGTCAGTATGTGTGTGTAAATTGCTTCAAATCCTTTGCTTATTTTTCTATTAACCTGTCTATCCTTTCTTGTTGTTTTGTAGGATTCTAATGTATTTAAGATTAATGCTTTATTTTTCATACATGGTGCAAATATTTTTTTCCATCTGTTTAACCAAACATAATTTATAATTCATGTGCAGTTGAGTTTGCTGATTATGTCTCTTGTCATGTTTAGATTTGTATTATTATTAGAAAAGCATTACAGTTCCAAGATACGTAATATTTTCATGTATTTTCTTCCAAAATTTCAGAGACTTGTTCAGTATTTAGCTTCTTAACCTGCCCATAGTACATTATTTCTAGTGAGGTTATACAGAGAGCTAAATAAAACTTTCCAGATTGATAATCAGTTGTCAAAATATCAATGTGATATAGTCCATCCATTTTTATAAGTTGAATCATTATAAAAACATGAATATTTCTGAACTCTATATTATGTACCATCAATTTTCTTACTGTTTCCTGCAATAACCACACTGTTTAAATTGCTATAATTCTGTAATATGTTTTGATAATTGGTGGGATTAGTTTCTCACTGGTCTTCCTTTCAAATGTTGTCTTAGTGTTTTGCGAATATTTTTTCCATAATGAATTTAAAGTAATCCTATACATTCCTTAGAAATTATATTTAGAGTTTAATTTTCAGATAAATTTTAACATATAGAATAATTTTGGGGAGAGTTTACCTCTTTCAAATACTGAATACTTCTTAACCAAGAACATAGTATAACTTTTTCTTTTTTTCAGGGCCTGTGTTATGACCTTCAATAGACTTCTATATTCTAAATAGGTTTTACAAGTTTTCTTGTCAGGCCTAACCATAAGTATTTAATGAGTTTTGTGGCTGTTCTAAATGGACTCATTTTTCTATTACATTTTAAATTCATCATTGCTGGTGTATAAGAAAGCTATTAATTTTTTAATATTGATTTATTTTAATCTGGCTACTTTCCTGGACTCTTACTAGTTCTTACAGTTTTTTATTGATTCTTGCTGATTTTTTTCTTTTGGTGGACAATAACTTTATCTTTGTCATGTGTGTATATATATGTGCTTGTATATGTGTCTATATATATATGTGTGTATGTGTATATACACACACATACACACATTTTGCTTTTATTTTATTGCATGGAATAGCATCTTCAGCAAACATCAATATTGACGTGGTAGCTGGGAACCTTTTCTTATTTCTGATTTACTGCAGATTATCTTCGTATTAGCTTTCCTGCTACCACTATAACATATTACCACAAACTTTGTAACTTAACCCACCACAACTGTATTTCCTTACAGTTCTGGAGGTCTGAATTCAGAATGTGATGTACAGGGCTATAATCAAAGTGTCTGCAGGGCTGGTTCCTTCTGAGGGGAACATGCTCTCCCTTCTGCAAGGGAGGATCTGTTCCTTGTCTCTATCAGCTGCTATAAGCCACCTGCATTCCTTGGGTCAACGCTTCTTCTTCATAACGCTCCAACCTCTTGCTTGCTTCCATCATCACATTGCCTTCACCTCTGTCTAAATTCCTATCACCCAGATAATTCAGAATAATCTCTCAGTCTCAAGGTTCTTAACTTAATCACATCTGCAAACCCTCTTTTAACACGTAAAGTAACACATTCACAAGTTCCGGGAATTAAGACATTTTTGCGGGGAGGGGACATTGTTAAACCTACCACGCTTAAAATATTTCACTATTATTTATGAAGTTTTCTTAAGGCTTCTGGTAGATTTTTTTAAGTCACTTTCAAGAGTATATTTCTATAACTCGCTTACTAAGAGCTTCTTTCTTCTGAGTCAGTAACAAATATTGTAATGAATCAAATCATTTATTCATCCATATTGAGATGTTTATTCACTGTTCTCTTTTGTTAATGTACTAATTAAATTAATGCACATGTTTCATAATTTGAAATACTTTTGCACTCCCAGTATACACCTTTTGGGCATAATGTATTAATATTAGTCTGCTAACACATTCCTGAAATTAATTTGTGAATAGTTCATTTATAATTTTCATATCTGTATTCACAAGTTTTCTTTTCTGTGCTTTTTTTGTTAAATCTTGATATCAGTGTTATATTACTCCCATAAAATTATTTTAAAAAAATTCTATTTCTTTATGTCAGTCGAAAAACATTACATAACAAAGAAGTTATCTCTATAAAGGTACAGTTAGCCTCACCCATAAAACATCCTGCACCTGATTTCCCTTTATCGTGGGCAATAAGCTCTCAATATTTCCCCTGACATTATCAATATTTCTGCTATTCCTTAGGTGAACTTTTGTCATTTGTGTCACTAGCAAATAATTCTTACTAAGATGCTTAATTTATAACATAAACCGTACTTATGTTTGATATGGTTTGGCTCTGTGTCATCACCCAAATCTCATGTTGAATTTAATTCCCAGTGTTGGGGGAAGGACCTGGTGGGAGGTGGTGGTTACATCACGGGAGCAGATTTCCCCCTTGCTGTTCTCGTGATAGTGGGTTCTCATGAGATCTGATTGTTTAGAAGTGTGTAGCTCTTTCCCCTTTGCTCTCTCTCTCCTGTTTCAGCATGGTAAGATGTGCCTGTGTCTCCTTTGCCGTCCACCATGATTGTAACTTTCCTGAGGCCTCCCCAGCCATGCTTCCTGTACAGCCTGCAGAACTATGAGTCAATTAGACCTCTGTTCTCCATAAATTACCCAGTTTCAGGTAGTTCTTTATAGCAGTGTGAGAATGGACTAATACAAGGTTGCCTCTATATCTAAAATGGTATTTATTTTCTCATTCCTGGCATTATTTGTTTGTATTTTTAACTGGTGAAAGTATCTAAGTTTGGCCATCTTATTGATAATTTTAAAGTTTGTTTTTAATTTTCTTGATCATCTTTACTTTTTATTTCTGTTTGCAATTTAGTTTCTATGTTTATCTCTAGTAATTCCTTTTATTTTTCTTACTCTTACTTTTTTTCTCTTCTAGGTTTTTACTTCACATGCATAATTTATTAGCTTTATTTTTTAAAGTATATGCATTTTTATGCTATAACTTTTTAGCTCAGTACCACTTTTGCAAGATAATATAACTCTTGACAGATGCTGCCTTTAATGTCTTTTAGCATCAAGATAGTTGTTAATTTTAGTTTAGACTTTGTCTTTATACCACAATTTATTTAGAGGATCATTTCTGAAGTTCTACCTGCAGAGCTGTTTTAAACTTCTAATTTTATTACACTATATTCAGGGAATATGGACTATATTAATTTTGTTTTAGGAATTATTGGAATTTTTTTGCAGACATAATTCTTGATCTATTTTTATATGTTCTGTTTGTTCTTGAAAAGCTGTGTGTTCTCTATCTCTGCAGTGCCAAGTTCCTTTCTTTCTTTCATTGTACCTATTACACCACACATATTAATTATGTTCATAAATTTTGACATTAAACCTAAAGCATATATTTAAAAAAGTCTCAGATTAAATAAAAAGACATACTGTCTACAAGAAATGTTGAATTAAAAAGAAGTTGGAAAGAGATGCCAGAGAGAGACAAAAAGAGACAGAAATATATAATATTAATACCATACTTATTAGAAGTATTAAAAATTATTTAAAAATAATATTCAAAAAGAAATAGCATTTTATTGAGAAATAATATATTCTACAATAAAGACATAAATTTTAGAAATATTTGTGCATTATGAATATTTGTGCATATATATATGCTGAACATAATGCACAAATATATATAAAATATATATATGTATATATAAATGTTGACAGTGTAAGGGAAGGTTAATGGAATTAGGAGACCTTAACATATTTTCCTTAATTCTCAAAAAAACAAGATTAATAAATCATAAAAGATTTATCTGGAAAACTTTAACACTTCTTCAAGACACACAAACAAACCGATTAGAAAGGGAAAGAAATTTCCTCAACACGATAAACAGCGTGTACAAAAAATCTACAGTTAACACAATATTTAATGTTGAAAACAAACGCATCCCTAAGATTGATAATAAGGTAAGGATATTTACTCTCACTACTTTTATTTAGTATTGTATTAAAGGACCTGTGAAAATTTTTGGCAAGGTTATCAAGTTCATTCAATGGGGAAATAATAGCACATTCAAAAGATGGTGCTGGGTCAATTGAATTTCCACATGCAAAAGAATGAAGTGGGATCCCTAACTCCCACTGCATATGCAAAAGGTAACTCAAAATGGATCAATGACCTAAATATATGAGTTAAAACCATAAATCTCATGGAAGAAAACATAATAACGTAAATTTTTTTTTTTTTTTGAGACAGAGTCTCGCTCTGTCGCCCAGGCTGGAGTGCAGTGGTGCGATCTCAGCTCACTGCAAGCTCCACCTTCCCAGGTTCACGCCATTCTCCTGCCTCAGCCTCCCAAGTAGCTGGGACTACAGGCGCCCGCCACCACACCCGGCTAATTTTTTGTATTTTTTTTTTTTAAGTAGAGACGGGGTTTCACCATGTTAGCCAGGATGGTCTCGACCTCCTGACCTTGTGATCCGCCCGCCTTGGCCTCCCAAAGTGCTGGGATTACAGGTGTGAGCCACCGCACCCAGCCATAACATAAATATTTATAACAATGGATTTCCTATGAATTTTTAGCTTTGACAACGAAGGTTTAGGTAACAAAGGAAAAATAGATAATTTGGACATAATCACAATTAAAACTTTTGTGCATCAAAAGACATTATAAAGAAAGTGAAAATGTCCTATGGAATGGGAGAAATATTTGCAAATTATATATCTGATGAGAGTTTAATATTCAAAATATATAAGGAACTACTATAATGCAACAACAAAAAGACAAGCTATCCAATTTAAAAATGGGTAAAGGACTTCAGTAGACATTTCTTCCATAAAGATATACTAATGGCCAAGAATCATATGAAGAGATGCTCAACACATCACTAGTCTTTGAAAAATGCAAATCAAAATCACAATGAGTACCACTTCACACTCATTAGATGGCTATTATCTAAAAGCAAAGTAAAGTAATGAGTGTTGGTGAAGATGTAAAGAAATTAGAACCCTCATACATTACAGATGGGGATGTAACGTGGTACAGCTACTAGGGAAAACAGTTTGGTGATTCCTCAAAAAGCTAAACATAGAATTACATATGAGTTAGAAATTCCACTCTTAGGTATGTACCCAAAAGAATTAAAAACAAGGACTCAAACAGGTATAGTACTTGAATGCCAGTGTTCCTTGCAGCATTAATTACAGTAGCCAAAAGACAGAAACAACCCAAATGTTGAATGGATAAGCAAAATGTGCTATTTATAACCATGTTATGTGATACATATATATCACATAATATGCATATAATTTAGCCATTGAAAGGAAATAAGCCAGGCGCAGTGGCTCACGCCTGTAATCCCAGCACTTTGGGAGGCCGAGGCGGGCAGATCACAAGGTCAGGAGATCGAGACCATCCTGGCTACCATGGTGAAACCCCGTCTCTACTAAAAACACAAAACATTAGCCGGGCTCGTTGGCGGGCGCCTGTAGTCCCAGCTACTCAGGAGGCTGAGGCAGGAGAATGGCGTGAACCTGGGAGGCGGAGCCTGCAGTGAGCCGAGACAGCGCCACTGCACTCCATCGTGGGCGACAGAGCAAGACTCCATCTCAAAATAAATAAATAAATAAATAAACAAACAAACAAACAAATAAATCTCTCAAAGATGCTACAACATGAATAAACTTTAAAAACATTATGCTAAGCAAAAGAAACCAGACATCAAAGCACAAATATTGTATCATTGCACTGACGTGAAATATCTAGAATAGACAATCCATTGGGACAGAAAATAGATTAAAGGGTGCCAGGTGCTGGGAGGCAGGAAGAATGTAGAGTTATTGCTTAAAGTTTATAGAGTTTCTGTTTGGAGTGATAAAAATGTTTTGGGAATACATAGTTCTGATGGTTGCTCAACACTGTGAATGTAATTAATGTCTCTGAATTGTACACTTAAAAATGATTACACTTTAAATTATAAATTTTAATTTAAATTATGATTTAAAGGGCAAATTTTAAATTATATATTAAAAAGTAAAATACGTGGTTAAAAATATAATGATAAGCTACAAACTGGGAGAAAATATTTGTGCTATCCGACAAAATACTAAAATCTAGAATATATGGTAGATTCTTACATCTCAATAATAATAAAAATAATAAATAAATAAGTAAATAGACAAAGAATTGAGCAGACAGTTCATCAAAGATGATGTACAAATTGCCAATTAGCACGTAAAAAGCTGCTCAATTCTATTAATCTTCAAGGAAGTGCAAATTGAAATCATTTCACACCTATTAGAATGACAAAAAAAAAAGGTGATACCAAGTGAGGACAAGAATTTGAAGCAACTGGAACCCATTTATTTCTGATTGTAGTGTAAAATAGTACAACCACTTTGAGAAACTTTGTCAATTTCTTATAAAACTGAACATCTACTTACCATATATCTCAGTAATCTCTCTCCTGGGTCTTTTCCCAAGAGAAATAAAGACACATTTCACAGAAACATTTATATATAAATGTTCACAGCAGCTTTACTCATGATAGTAAACACTGAAAACAATTCAAATGTCCACTAACGGGTGAATGTATTACTAAACTGCTACATTCATGATATGGAACAATACTCAGAAATAAAAAGAAATGAGCTACTGATAAATGCAGTAGCATGGATGGATAAATCTGAAAATCTCTATGCTGAGGGAAAAAATTAGACATAAAATAGTACATACTGCATGATTTCATTTACATAAAATCCTAGAATAGGTGAAATTAATCTATTCTTATAGAATCTATTCAGTGGTTGACTGGAGCAGGGAATAGCAAGGGTTGACTTGCTATCCGATGCCAAGGGCTTCCGTGATTATGGAAATAGTCTCTACCTTGATTAGGAATTTGGTTAAATAGGCATATATCTGTGTCAGAACTCATTGAACTATATATTTAAAATGTGCATTTTATTGTATGTAAATTATTAGTTGATTAAAAATACATATCACTCAAATTCGTGAATTAAAGAAGAGTTATCTATAATTATGGTACTAAGCATCACAATAATCATAAAGGAAAAGATTAATATACTTGAGACATTTGAGCACAGAAATCTTTTAAATCACTGCAAAGCAAACTGAAACAGGAAAAGGAAAATGTGGCAAGATATTTGTTTTATTTACATATATAAATGACTATATATATATGACCATATATATATGACCATATATATGAGCATATTTTATATACATCCACATCTATTATAGTTCTAATAAGTTACTAAAAAGTTAAAACCTCAAAATCCAAAAGGCAAATTGTAATAAACAGGCAATTTCGAGAACAAGAGAAAAAAACATGATAAAAATGTGAAAAGCTATTCAACTTCACTGATAATAAGGGTAATGCAAACTAAAACCTCAATGATAATAATTTTGGTTTTTATAAATTTGGCAAACATTGGGAAATTTGGTTAAGTTAGTGTTAGCAGTATATAGAAAATAAAGTACTTTTATTCTCTTTCTTTTAAATATAAATTGATAATTTTAAAGGCTATTTGATGGAACAATGAAAATTTAAATTCTGTGAACCATTTTACCAGTATTTCCCTTCTAGCTATGAAGTTTAAGGAGATGTGTGCATGTATGTTTGTGTATTGAGTACTGCCTATAAAAGAATAAAAATAATATTTAATATTAGTCAAGACGAACGTTGTCAATTGAAAAAAAATCCAAGAAAAAATGGCAAGCTACGTATATCACATACGTCAATATATTCATACGAAAATGAATAGAAACATAAACAGTTAACAGCAACAACAGTGCTCTCTTAAATAGAAATAAAGATGAGCCCTTTTTATCTCATTGCATTTTTTTCTTTTTTTTGTTTGTTTGTTTGTTTTTGAGACAGAGTCTCGCTCTGTTGCCCAGGCTGGAATGCAGTGGCACCATCTCAGCTCACTGCAACCTCCGTCTCCTGGGTTCAAGCGATTCTCCTGCCTCAGTCTCCCGAGTAGCTGGGACTACAGGCATGTGCCACCACACCCGGCTTTTTGTATTTTTAGTAGAGACAGGGTTTCACCATATTGGCCAGGCTGGTCTCAAATTCCTGACCTCAGGTTATCCACCCAACTCAGCCTCCCAAAGTGCTGGGATTACAGGCAGGAGCCACCATGCCCAGCCTCTCATTGCATTTTTATACTGAAAAATATTAGAGTGATATTTGATACTAAAATATTGATTCAAATCAGTGCTTGCTGCTGTAAATCCAAGTTTATTGTCCTCCTTTTAAAGATGAATAATATTCCTTCTAATACTTAATGTATTCTATTATAATGATACATCAGCATTTCAGATAAGATTATCAAAACTAATGAAAATAAATTTCAAAAAAGTGTCAACTATGAATTTGCACCATTTTCATTTTTCTAGATTTGATTAAATTATGATTGTCATTAAATTTGTAGATTCTCTTAATCTCTTCTGAGAGGTACATATAAAAAATCCATGAAAATATATACATTTCTAAATATTCTCCATGATGGTATATATATTTATTTTTTGAAATATGTGTTCTTGATTTCTGATACAATACAGAGTTCTTTTATGAAATATCATTGATATTTTCTTCATTGCTAATTCTTTATGCATAAAATTGGCCATCTTTTATCATTTGATTTTCTAATTTATTTATTCCATAATACAGCCCAATTTCAGGATTTGAGAGATGATATTGCTTCCTTTGTTGTACATACCAGATATAGTCCATTGGCAAATAGCCACCTTCCCCACCCTCTTCTCTGCCTCTTCTTGAACTGCAGAGAAAAGTATATTTCAAAGATTTGCCTCACCTTTAGCTAGGATTTTGCATGTGTATAGATTTTAGCCAGTGTGCTGATGCAGATACTGTACAGGCTAATTAAAGCAAGGACAACTTCTTGTTATTTTATTTATTTATTTATTTTGTTTGTTTTTTGAGCAACCAAGGTCAACATGATGTTTGTCTTTACTTGTGGCATACTCAGCATTTGCCTCTGGTCACCAGCTTTTCCTGTATTAACAGGCAGTGCTATGGCAACAGCTACAGTCTCCTGATTTCTGGATTGTAGCTGTAACAGTTGTCCTTAAATTCTTTAAAGCAGTGGTAGCCCAGACTCCTATTCTTCTATGTCTTATGGAAGTATTGAGTTCCCTGTATTAAATTCTTTTATTTTAAATTCTCACAATACCTGGAATGATTTTTCCTTCACCAAACATTAACATCTAGAGTATTTGGTATCCAAGGTAGTGGAGCATAGGCTGGGGTCAAAATAATACATACAATATGTGATATTGGCTAAGAAAGTGATTGGAATATTTGTGTGTGTTACCTTCTCCTTGATACTTTTAAGAAAGTAGGTAAGAGAAAGTCAGGAAAGTGTACCTCTACAAGCAGTAATGGAGGAAATACAGCTACTCAAAGGAGACTTTTCTTTCACTTAACTTGACTGACAGGCTAGAAATTTCAGGGCTTAGAAGTTTGGAACAGTTAAACAACAAGAATAAGAGAAGCTCCCATTGAATGTCCTCTGTCAGAGACAAAATGGTGTTGTTCCTTGTGGTAGATGTATCTATTTCCCTGTGTCCTTTGTCATATGATTTGATATCCGTCATGCTAAAGGTGGGCATGTTCTCCCATTTCCCCTTGGGCTTGGCAATGTGACCAGCTTTAGCCAATGAAATGTGGACAAAAGTGATAGTGGCCAAATTCGCAATTGCAAAAATATGGAACAAGCCCAAATGCCCATTAATCAATGAGCAGATAAAGAATCTGTGTTTATATAAATGATGGAATACTACTTAGCCATAAAAAAGAATGAAGTAATGGCATTCGCAGCAACCTGGATGGGATCAAAGACTATTATTCTAAGTGAAGTAACTCAGGAATGGAAAAATCAAATATCATATGTTTGCATTCATAAGTAGGAGATAAGCTATGAAGATGTGAAGGCATAAAAATGATACTATGGACTTTGGGGACTTGGAGGGAAAGGGTAGGACAGGGGTGAAGGACAAAAGACTACAAACTGGGTTCAGTGTACACTGCTTGGGTGATGGGTACACCAAAATCTTACAAATCACCACTGAAGAACTTGTGTAACCAAATACCACCTGTTTCCGAAAACCTATGGAAATTAAAAAAAAATAAAAATTAAAAAATAAAGGCTGTGGTAGGGCCTGTAGGTGAAATGAAGATAAATAAGATCTGTGCTATGAATCAAGCTGTGACTACAAATTCCTGTAACTAGAAGACACAAAGGAATATATACATATATATATATGTGTGTGTCTGTATATATATATATTCCGCCAAAAAAAAAGTGGTAGTGGCTAGATCTAAGCATAAGCTTTGAGAAGCATAGCAAATATTTGAGGCTGTCTTCTGCAAGTCCCATTAGGGGAACCTCTGCTAACATGCTACCCAAAGAGGATGAAATAAACATGGCCTCAACCCCATAGCTTAGATTTAAGTCATCCAGCTGAACACAGCCTAGATCAGCTAAAGCTCAGCCAGTAGTAGACACATGAGTGAATGAATGCTTCCTGTTGTATGCCACTGAGATTTTGTGATTGCTGGCAACTAGAGACTGATTAACCTCCATGCCTAAGCCTACTGCTTCACATTGCTTCACAATAGCCACCATTCAACGGAGAAAGACAGAAGTGAGTTAAGCAGAGAGAACAGTTAGTAAATATGCTCAGAATCATGACCAGACAAGATAATGGCTATTTTAACTTTCACATAAAAGTGTCTGGAGGTAAACAGACCAGAACTCTGGTAAGTTTTGAGGAAATTACTTTACCAATGCAACTACAACCCTGGCCTTCAAAGCCATATAATTGTTACATGAATAAAGCAACCTGCTTATCTCCCAAAGGCGTGTGCAGAAAGTAGGCTGGGAATGCTGGGCAGAACCCAGGAAGGGCATTTTCTCCAACACCGATTTCAGACATAGCCACAGATAATAATAGACAAGAATCCCCAAGAGGGCAAAGCTGGGAGCAATGAGGATTTTTGTACAAAGAAATTCCTCCCAGACAACACAACCAGCATTCAATCAAGGAATTTAGACCAAGGCAGAGGTTTTTCACCCTTCCTTGCCAGTAGAGTTTTTTCATTGCTATAAACTATGACTACTGGCTGGGCACCACATCTCACACCTGTAATCCCAGCACTTTGGGAGGCCAAGGCAGGAGGATTGCTTGACCCCAGAAGTTCAAGATGAGCCTAGGCAACATAGCAAGACCCCATATCTACAAAAAAAAAAAAAAATAACAAAGTTTGCCAATCATAGTGGCATGCACTGTAGTCCTAGCTACTCAAGAGGCTGAGGCAAGAGGATTTCTTGAAAACCTGTGACTACTCTGTGGTGTGCCTCTAATTCTTCCTTTTATTTATGGGGAGAGTTTAAAGCAACTATCTGTTGCATACTGGGTATGTGTGAGGAGTGGGAACAGATATTAGTTTATATCCCCTTAGTTAACCAGGAGCCAATTCTGGAGCATATAGAAAGGATTGCACATCACTCACAGATCCTAAATTTCTAGTTGCATACTGTAGCTGAATGGAATTTGGGGTAGTATCCTTAGGGAAATGGTCAGTGAGGGAAAGAAGTTATCATCAAACGAAATGTGTGTAGAAACGATGTATACAAATCCATGTGACTTACTTGGAAACATATGCTTGACATCCATTTTCTCTTTCCCCCTTTCTATAGGATGGAACACCAGGCTATAGTTTCAGGAAGCCAGACTTGACCCAGACTTGACCTTGCAAAAAATAGCAACCCCTTCAGAACTGGTAAAGCAATGAGAAAGAATTGCTCAGAACTTCATGGAGCTGAGCCATTCACCCATCCTGGAACATCCACCTTCCTCTGGAATTATTTTTTTAATGTTTTCTTCCTTCTTGTTTAATCCACTAATTCTCTCTCTTTTCCTCTGTTTCTCTCTCTCTCATCTCTGTTCCTTTCCATAGCAACATAGACTATATATGAGTAAATATTTGAATATATTTAATAATAAAAGTACATACACAAATATTTACAGAACTGCTCAATCAGAAAAAATACACTTAATAAATAATTGTTCACCAATGGCCTTGATGTGCTGTAATTTGTATTTCCACCAAATGAGTCCCAGTTACCTTTTATGTGTATTTTCCATGCTTGTTCACCTATTTGACTTTATACTAAAATTATATTAAATTTCTCTCTAATGTTTTGATTTTCTAATAAAATGTTGGTCATGTTTAGATGTTATCAAAATCAATAATTTTTTCTTTTCTTATCATAAGTCAGAGCAATCTTAATCTTATGTTAGAATAATGGAACTCTTATTCCTAACACACAGTTATGGCCTTTCTTCAGATTATTTTTGAAGCAGAACTTACAGACTAGTGTTTCTGATAATGCTAGAAATTTGGAAAAGTGAGTCTTAGATAAATATATAATAATCTTAGTTTTAAATGTGAAGGGTCAGTATTTCAGGCAGTAATGGAACTTTGTTTTTTGTATTAGTCTCTTCCTCCTTAGTTCTTTTATAATTGTTTCTAGCTCAAGAAATCCTAAGTTACTTGCAGTTTCAGAACAAAATAGAGTAGAAGTAAATTTCCCTACTCCTCCTTCTAAGTACAACTAAAAATCCAGGACACTAGGTATAAAACAATCATAAAAGGACTCCCAAAGTTGGAGGAAAAAAACATACCATTTGAGACCCTTAACTCAAGGAATTACATGAGTTTCTTGATTTTGCTTTTTGCTTCATGTATCTCAGACTGTGTGATGGCAAGCTAGCAATTTGGAAACAGCAACAATAGCACACAAAAATCACCCCATGGAAAGCCAGCTCTCTCAAGCCAAAATACACAAAAGGCAAAGGCTAGCAAAACAAACTTTAAGGTAATAGGTACCCTACTGCAGACCAATACCACAAAAAAATAACAGCCCTGTACCCATGCCCATCAGCAAAGGCCAAGAAGATAGCCTGGACTCCCATGACTAATCCCCTTTTACCCAGTACCTCTCTCGCAGTAAATGGAACCACCAATAACCCACTTGCTCTAAAAACAACATCCGGTATTTCAACAACCAAGTTCTGTCAGCTCTACTTCTCATATATCCTTCAACATGTCTCCTCTCCCAATATTGTTGCCACCACCAATACTCTCTTCCTTTAAAAACAGAAAAAGCCTCATTGTTCTCTCTGCACTCTCCATTTACAGTCTTACCCCAATCTAGTCTCCACTGCAGCCAGAGTAATCCTTCTAATACCTGTGTGTTATCTCTCCACTAAAAATCCTCCAATGGCTTCCCTGTGCCCAGAATACAAGGGTCACACTTCTGTGTATTCCCTTTGCTATTTATTTTTCTAAAGATAGAATGAAATTAAACTTCTCTCTGAAATTTTGCATAAGCAAAAAAAATAACAACTCTAATTTCTTATGTTTTAACCTCCATTAAAGCCATCAATATCATGAGGTGCTGTATTCACACTTAGAGAGGCATACTTCAGGAACTATAGAAACAGAGGAACAAGTCATACTGTCTGATGTAATTTGAATATGAAATCTACACACTTACCTTCTCTCCAAAGAGCAACAAATTGAACCAAATTACTTTCCAAACATGGGGATCCAATCCCCCACAGTCCACATATACATTTATTTAATCTGATGACTACATTTGCCAGACCTCGGATATAGTAACATCCCTAAATTGTATGCTTACAGAAACCGTTTTCACCAGATGAGAAGAAATTGCACAGCATTCTAAAGCTTCATCCAGTGTTAACTTTTCACAAACTATATGTTTATTAACTCAGAAATTGTACATGTGAAGTTATGCAATTGTTAACAAGTTTATACTCTACTCTCTCTAAGCTTCCTTGTTACTCTTTAAGCAATTGCAATTCGACAAGAGGAATATTTATTTCTATCCATGCAATCACCAAAAGTGAAAAATAAAAACTATTTCTCTATTTCTACAACATAGAATTATTGCCATTACGTGCAACTCTAAACATGCTCTCAGGTCTTAAATTAAAAGAACACATCTGTCTTAGCATCTATACAGGTAAAATAATTTGTTCAGGCTACTTGTTACTAATCTCTAGGTGGAAACTTCTCACCTAATAATTTAATTTTTCCTGTTCAATGACAACAGTGTTCACCAACACGTACCTTACTTCCAAAGCTCACGGTATCCCATTTTCAAGGACTGAAATGAGTAGTCTTTCAAATATTTGATGAGCAGACAGAAGGAAACCCCCTTTTTTTTTCTCTTGGTCAGTAAACAAACCCAGAGAGAATAGCTTTCCAGAATGCTGAAGATGCTCTGGCAGATCATTAATCCCAGAAAAATCTCTCTAAACTTACTGATGCGTGGATTCCATTTTCAAATTTCTCATTAGTTCCTCTTTATGGATTAAATGCTGATGTTCACAAGTGAATGCACACAGCTTCAGCTGATGGATGTAATTGGGTTGTAATGGATTTTAGCTGCTGTTCCTTCTGATCTAGCCAATTTGAAATGCAGTGTCAATGTATTCTCCCCATCTCTCGGTAGGGAATGAGAAATTGAAACCTACAAGATGAAATTTATCAACTTTCATAAAGTCAGCTTCAACCATCATAAAACTGTTAAACTTCTCATTATCATTCCACCGCAGTTATTTCTTGAACTCTGGTTTGGCAGTGAAAGTATTAAAGTATATTTCGAAGAAGTAGAGTTGATCCTTCAATATTCTGTGTGTCTTCAGCATTGATTTAGGTGCTGTAAATATTACCAAGTGAAGATGACATTAACACAGCAAAATTTAACACCAGAAACATAAAATGACAAGAAAAGATTTAAAAGTTGCAAAACCTTCTGCAATTTTATATTTAAAGCATGATTTGCAGCTATACTAGGTTCAATAACAAAGATAACATGTTTCAACATCTCAAAAATTGCTACTAAGCTGCTCTTTTGGTGTATTTTGGTGTCTCTTGGTACTGAAACATCTAGTGATGAATGGAAGACATGGTTTGGGGAGAGCCCCAAAAAGTTGTAAGCTGTCATAGTCACCCTTCATTTTCTACACTGTCATATGCATGTGTGTTTTTTAAGTCACAAGTATTTTTCTTTGGTTCTATATTCATGAGCACTGTCACAGCAAGGTCCAGAATTTAA
This sequence comes from Homo sapiens, assembly GCF_000001405.40. NCBI lineage: Eukaryota > Metazoa > Chordata > Mammalia > Primates > Hominidae > Homo > Homo sapiens. Next base: position 34,226,047 of record NC_000008.11, on the reverse strand, counting down.
CTGACTCCAAATAGACTGAACTTTCCTTTTATTACTAACAGCATTAAGTGGAATATACGGGAAAATATCTACTCTATTTAAAATTTTCAGTGAAAGGTACCAAGGAAAAACAATTCTCCATTCATACCAGCCTTTTAGATTAGTGCATCCTTTTAGATTAGTGCATAAATTCAAGGTTCTCATACAATTCTCAAGTTTACTTAATGCCAAGAACACTGTAAAACACCGCTAGACACGTACACACCCCTTATATTTTATTCTATGTAGACAACTTATCACTGATAAAATTAGAGAACATAGGCTAGCTAAAATGATAGAGCAACATATATCATCTAGTTCTTAGAAACTGTGCTCGAATTTACACATTTTCTTTGTATTACGCATTTTACAAATCTATAAGAGGGCAACTGTACTTAGGGCTCATAAAAGTTAGCCAGCTTAGGTAACATACTTAGGAGGAAATGAAAAGGATTAATGTCTTATTTGCTTTTCATGAATAATACTAAGCAGCACATACATTTCATTTAGCATCTTCAAATCACTTGACAAACATTAAGTAATTAATTAATTAAACAGAAAACCACGATGAGCTTAATTAGAACCCATACCCCCTCCCCAAGGACACACAATGCTTCTTGGTTCAAGCAGGTTTTGAAATAACAAGAATAACCTTTCTTGTGATATTTGACTGCCAGTTTGAGCCCAGAAAGTACCTGCGTGCATATTAGATGTTTTTAAAAATGTCAATTGGATTTTGTATAACCTCCAAAATGAGAGGTTAATTTTTTGTATCTCCTCCCACCCCCTGGAATTGCTTTTCATGCTCACACACACACCAATAAACAACTGGCTTCAGGTGCCAAACAAAAATTCTCCCTCCTACTTGAAAGACTATGCCCAGAACCAAATTTATGGCAAATGATATTGCATCAACATTCAACAAAACCTGCAAAGGAAGATACCATTTCAAAGAAAAAATGACTTTATTTACTTCTGTAAATTAATATTAAAATCAGCACTTATTATCTATAATCTCTTTCTGACCCATGGGAGAAAAACTGACTCAGAGCAGTAACCAATTTTGTTTGTCTGCAAAGGCCTACCCATTGACACAAAGTAAAATTTAAGTTATTTACCACTCATTGTTTTTATTTGCACCGGACCTGAAGATTTTAAATAGAATAATTTTTCTTAATGGGATGACTGTCATTTCAAACATAACAAAGCTCAGAGGGGAAAAAATGATATATGAATTTTCATGGCCATCATATAAACCTTATATTGCGGACTTATATTGCAGACTGCCCTAATGTCATGTAAACTCCTCAAGGTGACTCACTGAAGAAATATAACAAGAAAGGTGTCCCCACTAACACTGTCTTCTTTTTGCTTTGAAACTTTCCCTCTTAGCAACAAAAGACTTTCCACTAAAAAGGGCACAGTGGGTCTATGATGCAAGAAACAAATACTCCTCATTTCAATCATAATTCAAAGAAATGTTTGAAATTGTCTTTGTGAACAGTATTTGTACTACTAAAAAAATCTTAAATTCAATACTAAATATTCACCAACTATTTTTCATTAAAAATAATATTAGGGATAACTGATGCCATTATTTATATGTGGTAAAAATTTTGGCTATTTCTGAAAATCAACTCCCTTGCTCAAAAGGTGAAGATTTGCTATCATTAGGCTGAAATAATTTTTTAAAGTGTGCTTATTGCTCTGAGAACAATTTCAAAAGAGAGATTTCAAAAACAAAATATTGTGAATTTAGATAGGCTTACATTTTGGTAATTTGATTAAAAAGGAATCTAAATCATTTTTGAGAGATTTCATATACACTTACTCTAATGTTGTCTTTCCTTAAGAAAAAAGTAATACAATTTTATCTCTCCAGCAGATTATCTACATTTTGAAAATTGTTTCCACCATACATAATTCCCTTTTTTATCTCTGAGATATTAAGATTTGTTTCACACAACCGGCTCCACATACAATGCTGCAGGTGAAGTAAAGGATCACTTACCTCAAATCTCATCTTAGTGATACCTGCATCATTCGGAGGAGATGAGGACAGACCTATTACTTTCCATCTTGAGCTTGAAACACAAAGCTAGTTTATTACATTCATTAGGTGGACAATACAAGTCAGTTGTCTGATTTTTATACATTTACAAAATAGATCTGGGATGGTTTGTTTTGGATTCCAAGATGCTTTCTGCACATTTAAAAGTAACTATGCAAAAAATAAGGTCTTCTCTATCGTAGAAAGTCTGGATGAAGCTGGAAGTCATTATCAGCAAACTAATGCAGGAACACGAAACCAATGCAGGAACACCACATGTTCTCTCTTGTAAGTGGGAGCCAAATGATGAGAACCCATGGACATGTGGGGTGAGGGGTACAACACACACTAGGGGCAGGGAGAGCAACAGGAAGATGAGCTAACGGATGCTGGCCTTAATACCTGAGTGATGGGTTGATCTGTGCAGCAAAGCATCATGGCACTTTACCTATGTAACAAGCCTACACAACCTACACATGTACCTCGGAACTTAAAATAAAAGTTGATTTAAAAAAAGAAAGTCTACATCTACAATGATATTTAAGAGAAATTCTAAAGCTGAGGTAAATAAAGAGAGACAGAAAGGTGATGGAGAGGCAGCAGGGATTAGGGGGTTAAGCGATCACATAAAGATGTTATAGTTTTTTCAACAATGATATAAACTTGAAGTTACCGCTATTATTATGGTAAGTTATTAGGAAAATTGTATAGTAGCACCAAAAGCAAAGGCAAATAACAGGAAAACTTTTCTGGGTATAGTTTATTTGCTGTCATTTTGTCTTTAATTTATCAGATCTCCTTTACATATAGACATGAGATTATTGAAGGAACAAAACAAAAGGAAAAGATAGATGAACACATTCAAAAAGCTAGCAATATCAAATCAGCATAATAAAGTGTATGCTTTTTTGTGACTTTTTATTGTTCTCCTGTCTTCTAAAGGGAGGTTGTTTCATGTTGGATACTTTTCTGCACCATAACCTCTTTTTCTGTCCTGAACCAGACCCAGTTAATCTCTGCACAAAGTAGTTAGTATTTCCTGGGCATACAGTGAATATTCATCAATCTATATAGATTAAATTATTAGCTTGTGCTGCTGAGAATCAGGTTCTTATTCTTTTTATTTTTCTCTACCGCCACCTCCCACATAATTTAAGAAATCCTAAACTAATTATCCAATTTCAGCCAGTACAGAGTCTAAATTTCATAGCCTTATTATCTTTATTATAAGGCTCTTCAGCTCCACTTCAAAGGCAGTTAAAAGATTGGCATCAACACTGAATTGTACAGCAAGGACACTTGGCTGCACAACTCTTTTCAATGCTCCTCAGCACTGAACTTGATTTTCTTATCTGCCCAGATTATGCAAAATTAATCAATTCTTTGAAATAGCAGTGAGATATTGTTTCCTTTGGTTAAGAAAAATGATTCAAAGAAATAGAACTGATCTTTCAATATATTTAGAGAGTAAAAATGCAGGGAAAATCCACAGGGATCACAGAATCCCTTGTTCTACTTCTCACTTCCTTTCTATTTGATTTATGGACAATCTCTTAAGTTTTTCTGGTGGAAAAAAAAAAAAAAGAAATCTTACAGGAAGGAATGAGCAGAATCTATTTCAGCTTCCAAGAAACTCTCCAAAATAGCAGCACCAACAGTAAGAGCACTGCCTGGGAACTGCATTGGATAATTCAGTGTCTCAAAGCATATTTGCCACCACATATTTAGCTTGGTCCAATAGATATATTACAGATTTTATTAACATCTGGCCAAATTCAGCATCTCACACCCTTTCCAATAAATACCACAACTCTCAATGTCTCTCCCTCTCTCTCTTTTACACATGCAATTACATACATACACTCACTCACACATGCAATTGTTATTCTATGTTTAGCCACAATCCTCATTCCCCGAACTTTTCTATACATATATATATATAATGCAGATTTCAAAATAACAAAGAGCTGAGATCCTTTATGATTAGAGAAACAAAAAGAAGGAGAATTCACCAAAAGAAGTGAGTAAAGGTGCTTATTACAGGTGTTGTTAATTAGATTGTGTATACTTTACTCCCAACCCCTTCAGATATGGCTGCTAGATGTACTGAAATTCAAAGAAAGAGACTGGAAGATATTGTTCCAAATCCTCTACCCAGCACTGGGGAATATCAATGAACAACAACAACAGTAAAGAAGACCTGTCTTCCCTGGAGCTTTCACTGGGAGAGAAAATAAAGAATAAACAAAGAAAGTAAGTTAAATATTATCCTATGTTAGAATAAAAAAGTTGAGGAAAGCAGAACTGAGTACAAAGGATTGGGGATGCCAGGGGCTGTTTTAAGAGAAAATGACAGCAAACATAATCCTGAAGAAAGTCAAGGAGAGAGCCAGTGGATATTGTAAGGGAAGGGAATTGTAGGCATCATGGCTACCATGTTCAGCTATCATGCATGTTTTATTGCACAACCTGAACAATGCTACACAGCGTTTCCGTCAAGTGGAGACAGCAGCAACTGAAAAGATCTGGAGTGGCAGCATGCCCAGTAGGTTCATCATGAGAAAGGGAGATCACTGTAGCTGGAACAGAGAAAGCAAACTGAAGAATAGGGAGAAGAGGAATGGGAGTCTAAATGAGTCTGAGTTTCCCTTTTATTATCCATTGTGATTGCTTTTATGTGAGTTCCTTAAAGCTGGAAGCCATGTTTGACAACCAAAGCCTAACCAGAGGAAATCTTACACATGAAGGCCAGTCTCAATGTTTGACTGGTACACCAACTACAGAAGACCAGGAGCCAGCATGATGGCATGGCGTGAGTGCATGGGTTTATATCAGATAAACAGTTTTGAATTCTGGCTCTATCACTTACTAGATGTGGGAATTTGGGTTTGTTTCTTTTTTTTCTTTTATTATTATTATACTTTAAGTTTTAGGGTACATGTGCACAATGTGCAGGTTAGTTACATATGTATACATGTGCCATGCTGGTGTACTGCACCCATTAACTCGTCATTTAGCTTTACGTATATCTCCTAATGCTATCCCTCCCCCTTCCCCCTACCCCAAAACAGTCCCCAGAGTATGATGTTCCCCTTCCTGTGTGCATGTGTTCTCATTGTTCAATTCCCACCTATGAGTGAGAACATGCGGTGTTTGGTTTTTTGTCCTTGTGATAGTTTACTGAGAATGATGATTTCCAATTTCATTCATGTCCCTACAAAGGACATGAACTCATCAATTTTTATGGCTGCATAGTATTCCATGGTGTATATGTGCCACATTTTCTTAATCCAGTCTATTGTTGTTGGACATTTGCGTTGGTTCCAAGTCTTTGCTATTGTGAATAGTGCCACAATAAACATACGTGTGCATGTGTCTTTATAGCAGCATGATTTATAGTCCTTTGGGTATATACCCAGTAATGGGATGGCTGGGTCAAATGGTATTTCTAGTTCTAGATCCCTGAGGAATCGCCACACTGACTTCCACAATGGTTGAACTAGTTTACAGTCCTGCCAACAGTGTAAAAGTGTTCCTATTTCTCCACATCCTCTCCAGCACCTGTTGTTTCCTGACTTTTTAATGATCACCATTCTAACTGGTGTGAGATGGTATCTCATTGTGGTTTTGATTTGCATTTCTCTGATGGCCAGTGATGGTGAGCAGTTTTTCATGTGTTTTTTGGCTGCATAAATGTCTTCTTTTGAGAAGTGTCTGTTCATGTCCTTTGCCCACTTTTTGATGGGGTTGTTTTTTTCTTGTAAATTTGTTTGAGTTCATTGTAGATTCTGGATATTAGCCCTTTGTCAGATGAGTAGGTTGCGAAAATTTTCTCCCATTTTGTAGTTTGCCTGTTCACTCTGATGGTAGTTTCTTTTGCTGTGCAGAAGCTCTTTAGTTTAATTAGATCCCATTGGTCAATTTTGGCTTTTGTTGCCATTGCTTTTGGTGTTTTAGACATGAAGTCCTTGCCCATGCCTATGTCCTGAATGGTAATGCCTAGGTTTTCTTCTAGGGTTTTTATGGTTTTAGGTCTAACATGTAAGTCTTTAATCCATCTTGAATTAATTTTTGTATAAGGTGTAAAGAAGGGATCCAGTTTTAGCTTTCTCCATATGGCTAGCCAGTTTTCCCAGCACCATTTATTAAATAGGGAATCCTTTCCCCATTGCTTGTTTTTCTCAGGTTTGTCAAAGATCAGATAGTTGTAGATATGCGGCATTATTTCTGAGGGCTCTGTTCTGTTCCACTGATCTATATCTGTTTTGGTATCAGTACCATGCTGTTTTGGTTACTGGAGCCTTGTAGTATAGTTTGAAGTCAGGTAGCGTGATGCCTCCAGCTTTGTTCTTTTGGCTTAGGATTGACTTGGCAATGTGGGCTCTTTTTTGGTGCCATATGAACTTTAAAGTAGTTTTTTCCAATTCTGTGAAGAAAGTCATTGGTAGCTTGATGGGGATGGCATTTTTTCTATAAATCACCTTGGGCAGTATGGCCATTTTCACGATATTGATTCTTCCTATCCATGAGCATGGAATGTTCTTCCATTTGTTTGTATCCTCTTTTATTTCATTGAGCAGTGGTTTGTAGTTCTCCTTGAAGAGGTCCTTCACATCCCTTGTAAGTTGGATTCCTAGGTATTTTATTCTCTTTGAAGCAATTGTGAATGGGAGTTCACTCATGATTTGGCTCTTTGTTTGTCTGTTATTGGTGTATAAGAATGCTTGTGATTTTTGCACATTGATTTTGTATCCTGAGACTTTGCTGAAGTTGCTTATCAGCTTAAGGAGATTTTGGGTTGAGACAATGGGGTTTTCTAGATATACTATCATGTCATCTGCAAACAGGGACAATTTGATTTCCTCTTTTCCTCATTGAATACCCTTTATTTCCTTCTCCTGCCTAATTACCCTGGCCAGAACTTCCAACACTATGTTGAATAGGAGTGGTGAGAGAGGGCATTCCTGTCTTGTGCCAGTTTTCAAAGGGAATGCTTCCAGTTTTTGCCCATTCAGTATGATATTGGCTGTGGGTTTGTCATAGATAGCTCTTATTATTTTGAGATACATCCCATCAATACCTAATTTATTGAGAGTTTTTAGCATGAAGCGTTGTTGAATTTTGTCAAAGGCCTTTTCTGCATCTATTGAGATAATCATGTGGTTTTTGTCTTTGGTTCTCTTTATATGCTGGATTACATTTATTGATTTGTGTATACTGAACCAGCCTTGCATCCCAGGGATGAAGCCCACTTGATCATGGTGGATAAGCTTTTTGATGTGCTGCTGGATTTGGTTTGCCAGTATTTTATTGAGGATTTTTGCATCAATGTTCATCAAGGATATTGGTCTAAAATTCTCTTTTTTGGTTGTGTCTCTGCCCGGCTTTGGTATCAGGATGATGCTGGCCTCATAAAATGAGTTAGGGAGGATTCCCTCTTTTTCTATTGATTGGAATAGTTTCAGAAGGAATGGTACCAGCTCCTCCTTGTACCTCTGGTAGAATTCAGCTGTGAATCCATCTGGTCCTGGACTTTTTTTGGTTGGTAAGATATTGATTATTGCCACAATTTCAGAGCCTGTTATTGGTCGATTCAGAGACTCAACTTCTTCCTGGTTTAGTCTTGGGAGGGTGTATGTGTTGACGAATTTATCCATTTCTTCTAGATTTTCTAGTTTATTTGCATAGAGGTGTTTGTAGTATTCTCTGATGGTAGTTTGTATTTCTGTGGGATCGGTGGTGATATCCCCTTTATCATTTTTTATTACGTCTATTTGATTCTTCTCTCTTTTCTTCATTAGTCTTGCTAGCAGTCTACCAATTTTGTTGATCCCTTCAAAAAACCAGCTCCAGGATTCATTAATTTTTTGAAGGGTTTTTTGTGTCTCTATTTCCTTCAGTTCTGCTCTGATTTTAGTTATTTCTGGCCTTCTGCGAGCTTTTGAATGTGTTTGCTCTTGCTTTTCTAGTTCTTTTAATTGTGATGTTAGGGTGTCAATTTTGGATCTTTCCTGCTTTCTCTCATGGGCATTTAGTGCTATAAATTTCCCTCTACACACTGCTTTGAGTGTGTCCCAGAGAGTCTGGTATGTTGTGTCTTTGTTCTTGTTGGTTTCAAAGAACATCTTAATTTCTGCCTTCATTTTGTTATGTACCCAGTAGTCATTCAGGAGCAGGTTGTTCAGTTTCCATGTAGTTGAGCGGTTTTGAGTGAGTTTCTTAATCTTGAGTTCTAGTTTGATTGCACTGTGGTCTGAGAGACAGTTTGTTATAATTTCTGCTCTTTTACGTTTGCTGAGGAGAGCTTTACTTCCAACTATGTGGTCAATTTTGGAATAGGTGTGGTGTGGTGCTGAAAAAATGTATATTCTGTTGATTTGGGGTGGAGAGTTCTGTAGATGTCTATTAGGTCCACTTGGTGCAGAGCTGAGTTCAATTCCTGGGTATCCTTGTTAACTTTCTGTCTCATTGATCTGTCTAATGTTGACAGTGGGGTGTTAAAGTCTCCCATTATTATTGTGTGGGAGTCTAAGTCTGTTTGTAGGTCACTCAGGACTTGCTTTATGAATCTGGGTGCTCCTGTATTGGGTGCATATATATTTAGGATAGTTAGCTCTTCTTGTTGAATTGATCCCTTTACCATTATGTAATGGCCTTCTTTGTCTCTTTTGATCTTTGTTGATTTAACGTCTGTTTTATCTGAGACTATGATTGCAACCCCTGCCTTTTTTTGTTTTCCATTTGCTTGGAAGATCTTCCTCCATCCTTTTATTTTGAGCCTATGTGTGTCTCTGCCTGTGAGATGGGTTTCCTGAATACAGCACACTGATGGGTCTTGACTCTTTATCCAATTTGCCAGTCTGTGTCTTTTAATTGGAGCATTTAGTCCATTTACATTTAAAGTTAATATTGTTATGTGTGAATTTGATCCTGTCATTATGATGTTAGCTGGTTATTTTGCTCATTAGTTCATGCAGTTTCTTCCTAGCCTTGATGGTCTTTACAATTTGGCATGTTTTTGCAGTGGCTGGTACCGGTTTTTCCTTTCCATGTTTAGTGCTTCCTACAAGAGCTCTTTTAGGGCAGGCCTGGTGGTGACAAAAATCTCTCAGCATTTGCTTGTCTGTAAGGTATTTTATTTCTCCTTCACTTATGAAGCTTAGTTTGGCTGGATATGAAATTCTGGGTTAAAAATTCTTTTCTTTAAGAATGTTGAATATTGGCCCCCACTCTCTTCTGGCTTGTAGAGTTTCTGCCGAGAGATCAGCTGTTAGTCTGATGGGCTTCCCTTTGTCGGTAACCCGACCTTTCTCTCGGCTGCCCTTAACATTTTTTCCTCCATTTCAACTTTGGTGAATCTGACAATTAAGTGTCTTGGAGTTGCTCTTCTCGAGGAGTATCTTTGTGGCGCTCTCTGTATTTCCTGAATCTGAATGTTGGCCTGCCTTGCTAGATTGGGGATGTTCGCCTGGATAATATCCTGCAGAGTGTTTTCCAACTTGGTTCCACTCTCCCCGTTACTTTCAGGTACACCAATCAGACGTAGATTTGGTCTTTTCACATAGTCCCATATTTCTTGGAGGCTTTGTTTGTTTCTTTTTATTCTTTTTTCTCTAAACTTCCCTTCTGGCTTCATTTCATTCATTTCATCTTCCATCACTGATACCCTTTCTTCCAGTTGATTGCATCGGCTCCTGAGGCTTCTGCATTCTTCACGTAGTTCTCGAGCCTTGGCTTTCAGCTCCATCAGCCCCTTTAAGCACTTCTCTGTATTGGTTATTCTAGTTAAACATTCGTCTAAATTTTTTTCAAAGTTTTTAACTTCTTTGCCTTTGGTTTGAATTTCCTCCTGTAGCTCAGAGTAGTTTGATCGTCTGAAGCCTTATTCTCTCAACTCGTCAAAGTCATTCTCCGTCCAGCTTTGTTCCGTTGCTGGTGAGGAACTGCATTCCTTTGCAAGAGGAGAGGTGCTCTGTTTTTTAGAGTTTCCAGTTTTTCTGCTCTGTTTTTTCCCCATCTTTGTGGTTTTATCTACTTTTGGTCTTTGATGATGGTGATGTACACATGGGTCTCTGGTGTGGATGTCCTTTCTGTTTGTTTTCCTTCTAACAGACAGGACCCTCAGCTGCAGGTGTGTTGGAGTTTGCTAGAGGTCCACTCCAGACCCTGTTTGCCTGGGTACCAGTGGCGGTGGCTGCAGAACAGCGGATTTTCGTGAACCGCGAATGCTGCTGTCTGATCGTTCCTCTGGAAGTTTTGTCTCAGAGGAGTACCCGGCCATGTGAGGTGTCAGTCTGCCCCTACTGCAGGGTGCCTCCCAGTTAGGCTGCTTGGGGGTCAGGGGTCAGGGACCCATTTGAGGAGGCAGTCTGCCCGTTCTCAGATCTCAAGCTGTGTGCTGGAAGAAACACTGCTCCTTCAAAGCTGTCAGACAGGGAGATTTAAGTCTGCAGAGGTTACTGCTGTCTTTTTGTTTGTCTGTGCCCTGCCCCCAGAAGTGGAGCCTACAGAGGCATGAAGGCCTCCTTGAGCTATGGGGGGCTCCACCCAGTTCGAGCTTCACAGCTGCTTTGTTTAACTAAGCAAGCTGGGCAATGGTGGGCGCCCCTCCCCCAGCCTCGCTGCCGCCTTGCAGTTTGATCTCAGACTGCTGTGCTAGCAATCAGCGAGACTCCGTGGGCGTAGGACCCTCCAAGCCAGGTGCGGGATATAATCTCCTGGTGCACCGTTTTTTAAGCCCGTTGGAAAGGCGCAGTATTAGGGTGGGACTGACCCGATTTTCCAGGTGCCGTCTGTCACCCCTTTCTTTGACTAGGAAAGGTAACTCCCTGACCCCTTGTGCTTCCTGAGTGAGGCAATGCCTCACCCTGCTTCAGCTCGCACACGGTGCGCTGCACCCACTGTCCTGCGCCCACTGTCTGGCACTCCCTAGTGAGATGAACCCGGTACCTCAGATGGAAATGCAGAAATCACCCGTCTTCTGCATCGCTCATGCTGGGAGCTGTAGACCTGTAGACCGGAGCTGTTCCTATTCGGCCATCTTGGCTGCCAGCCTCGGATCAGATGGGGTTTGTTTCTTAATTTGATGTCAACTTAGTTCAGCAAAAGTGCCTTGGTTCTTACTAGATAATCTAATATGATGGGCCCCAAAATAAAAGGAACATGCTTGGAGCTTTAAGCCTCAAACAACTTGTAGTCTAAATTGGAAGCCTGCAAACCTTTTTGTGTAAAGGTCCAGATAGTATATATTTTAGACTTAGTGGGCCATTTGGTCTCTGTTGGAGCTACTTAATTCTTGCATTGTTAACACAAATGTAGCCAAAGAAAATATCAAATGAATAAGTATGGCTGTCATCCAATAAAACTTAATTTACATAAATAGGCAGCAGGCCAGATTTTGCCCCCAGGCCATAGTTTTCATCCCCTGATCTAAAGAAGCACTGTCCAATAGATGTAATGATGAAAGTGTCCTGTGTCTACATAACCAACAGCCACATGTGGCTGTTGAACTCTTGAAATGTGACTTTGTGTTACTAAGGTACCACATTTTTAATTTAATTTAAGTCATTCAAATAGCCACATGATACTTTATTGAATAGCCTTGTCTAAAAGAAAAGAGAGGCACGGAAAAACACAAAGACTACTATATGTTTAAAAATGCCAGAAGTCCCATTAACTCATGTAAGAAGTAACTAGCACTGACTAGGAGTTTAACTAAAGGCTTCACAGACTAAGCAGCATTTGAAATAGATCTTAAGAAATAAGAAGACTTTGGTAAGCTTTTAAACCTTGCTTGTAAAACCAAAATACAAATAACCAAAGTTGTAACAGGAATTTTTACAATTTATTTCTGTTTATAGAAATGAAACATAACTGAAAACTGAAAAGTGCTCTATACTTACAGTCACTTGTTTGGCACTCCTCTGTTTTCCAATAGTACTGTGGAATAAGTACAGGCTTTAGGACCAGTGAGAGCTGATTTAAAACTTTGTTCTGCCTTTTACTTATCTCATGAGTTTGGATAAGTCCCTTTAACGTTCTGAGCAGCAGTTTTCTCATCCTTAAAATGGAAAAGGTAATAGTGATCTCTTAGGTCATTTGTAGAAATCAAAAATGATCCAATTATAACACTTAGGATAACACTAAGAACTTGGGATTCAGTTACTGAGTTATCATTTAATCATTGTTATGTCATCAACATCATTTCAATCAAATTTCACAATTCTGTTCGAGTAAGGAAGAGTGGGCATTACCATCTTTTTAAATAGGAGGTTTATTTGTGTAGACATGTAAAGGTATCTTGCCCAAGACAACATAGCTCATAAATGGTAGAACCAAACTTAGAAGGCTCAGAACCCCTTATACTTATCCCAGTGCTTTCTCCACTCCCTGTTATTAACTCTCTTATCAAGACAAGAAATATTTGGAATGTCAGTTCTAGACTGAACCTGTCATCTCGATGAGTTATAAGAGATATTCAGGCCGATGGGGCTTTGTCCAACCAGTCAATTATATTTACCAGTCAAATTACCTGCTTTCACATAAAATCTGTCTGGATCTCATTATTTAAATAGTTTTTACAAGATAATCTCCATCTGTGCTATAGTCTAGAGCACTGAATCTTGCTATTTAGAAGCATTATGCAAAATAAGCCAAAAATGCTATAGGGCTCTATATCTCAAGCCTTCCTTGACATGGGTTTGTGCTAAGTTCTGTCCTTTCTATCAGCTTATGTTTAATTTATATATTTTTTTATTATACTTTAAGTTTTAGGGTACATGTGCACAAGGTGCAGGTTTCTTACATATGTATACATGTGCCATGTTGGTGTGCTGCACCCATTAACTCCTCATTTAACATTAGGTATATCTCCTAATGCTATCCCTCCCCCCTCCCCCAACCCCACAACAGGCCCTGGTGTGTGATGTTCCCCTTCCCATGTCCATGTGTTCTCATTGTTCAATTCCCACCTATGAGCGAGAACATGCGGTGTTTGGTTTTTTGTCCTTGCGATAGTTTGCTGAGAATGATGGTTTCCAGCTTCATCCATGTCCCTACAAAGGACATGAACTCATCATTTTTTATGGCTGCATAGTATTCCATGGTGTATATGTGCCACATTTTCTTAATCCAGTCTATCGTTGTTGGACATTTGGCTTGGTTCCAAGTCTTTGCTATTGTGAATAGTGCTACAATAAACATACGTGTGCATGTGTTTTTATGGCAGCATGATTTATAATCCTTTGAGTATATACCCAGTAATGGGATGGCTGGGTCAAATGGTATTTCTAGTTCTAGATCCCTGAGGAATCACCACACTAACTTCCACAATGGTTGAACTAGTTTATAGTCCCACCAACAGTGTAAAAGTGTTTGTATTTCTCCACATCCTCTCCAGCACCTGTTGTTTCCTGACTTTGTAATGATCACCATTCTAACTGGTGTGAGATGGTATCTCATTGTGGTTTTGATTTGCATTTCTCTGATGGCCAGTGATGATGAGCATTTTTTCATGTGTCTTTTGGCTGCATAAATGTCTTCTTTTGAGAAGTGTCTGTTCATATCCTTCGCCCACTTTTTGATAGGGTTGTTTTTTTCTTGTAAATTTATATTTTCAAAGTGAAGCAATAAACTTTTTAAAATATAATCAATTTCATTACATGCCATCGCTAATCCCACCTGTCTTCCTAACAATCACAAACAGAAGCACTGAGCAACACAATATAGCCTTTCTTATTTCCAAATAAAAAAGTAATAAAATGACATAAGTAAGTACAAGTAGGTTTTTTCCTTATATCAAAGCAGTACTTAGATTAATAACAATATTAACTGCATATGTTGAAAAGTGAGAAATGTTTGTGTTCGATCTACTCCATTTCCTCATTCTACACATTTTTAAATCTTCCTTGTCAAATAGGATTCTCCAGCTCCAACTTATTCTTTAGGAACTATGTCACACTAAGTGTTTGCAAAAGGAAAGCTACTAGTTAGGATACTGATGTTATATCACACTGAAATGATAAACTGCAAGGGGAAGGAAATGCTACTTGACTCAGAGATCAAACTAATTAATTTTATTTCCTCTTTCCAAACCTAACACTATATTCCTGTGTCTGTCTGATGTTAGCCTGATGATGTCTCTTCATGGGATTTGAGGTTGGGACCCAACCCACCATGCTCCTGGAAGGAAAACTGATAAGGGAAAGGAGGTAATGAAGAAGGATATCAATTTCTTGGTTGGAGTTCCTTTCACCATTCACTTGAACTGGGTATCTTCCATGTGTTCTCATATCAACATCAGTGTGCAATGAGCTTTCCCATACTCAAAATTTTTAGGCCATGGGTAGTTCTACACTGTTTTTCTAAATACTTCAGAGAATTTTAGAAATGTAGAAGAGAAAAGGAGCATTGAAGAAATTAGGAAATGTTACTTATTTACCTACTTTCTTCTATTCATTCATTCATTACAAATGGCTAAACTGAGGTCCGTCCATAGGCGTGAAGATTCTTACCAAAAGCTTGATGCTAGTTAATAGCAGAATTGTGTTGAGCATCCATGTCTTAAAAGTTTCAATTCAGTCCTTACTCTATTGTACGTACTGCTTCCTTTATATATAGGCATTTCCATGAATATACAATAGCTTTGTTTATTTTTTAAGAAAAAAAACAATGTTCTACATTCTCTTTGTGTAAAATTCTCTTCCTATAAGCAATCCTATGAAACTCTTCCTATAAGTTTTAGGGAGTTGAACATGCAGACTTTATAAATTTCACAGTATTGTGAAATGAGCAAATAGTTGCCATTGCCTTAGTGACTTCCAATAGATTTCTCTTCACGTATAGCTTCCTATCTCTTTTACACATTTGAATTTGTCAGTTGTTCCTAGCCCAACTCCATATTGGCTCCCCTGAAGAATTCAGCTTTCATTGATTTCCCCTTATAGTCAATCCTAGATGCTTTACCCCTTAATAATATACCTATATCGCACATATCAATCTTACAGTTGCCATACAGATTATACTTAACCTTCACCTGGACGAGGAATGGGTCCATGACCCCTAGAATCTTCTCATGCCATGGTGGACATAACTCCTTCTCAATAATATATAAATTTGAAGGACTGAATTACCACTTTGATGACTTTAAAGAATGACTGTGACTTTCTAAATTACTCTGCAATACTCTCTGTACCTGATTTATTAATTAGGAGTTGAATCTCAAAGTCTACTCTAGGTTTGAAGGCTATTACTTCATTGGGATTCTTGCCCCCAAAATGCCTCACTACATTTAGCTGATCCAACAATCTTCACAAACATTGATGTTTCATTCACATCACAGTTTAGGGAGCTTTGTTTCTCTTTTAATGACTGAGAATAAAACTCTAAAGAAAAACATCTCCATGGGAAGTCTAACATTGCTTAGGAATGAATAATCTGTGACTGCCAGAAAACATTACTTGATTATCAGTTTGAATTTTCTTTTGCTTCTTACTTCATCCCATTAAGTATTTATTTTATTCCCTTGGACCACCCCAGACTGTTGTTCTCCCTCCTGGCTGTCTCTATATCTTTCAAATATTTGGCAAGCTGCAGATTTTGATTGATCCACCCTTTTTTTCTTCTCCCCAAGTGCTAACGTCTATCTTCAATGGATTTTTGCCTATTGTTCTTTGAGATGAAATCAATAAAAATTACAAAAGCTGAAGAATTCTTAAACAAGCTATTTTGCCCCTCCTTTTACCTTCTCACAAAGGATTTTTTTTCCATCTTATCACTTTTCTTCCAAAAGTAGCATACACCTTAATTAAATTATTACAATTCTTTGGAGGATTATGAATAAATCTTCATTTGTTTTCTTTATTAGCATTTGATCTGCTTTTGTTAATTGTGTAAATGTTCCCCGTAGGCAGAAAAGCAATATAACTCAAATGAAGCAGGGCTTTTTTTTAAGGATAGTTAATTTGATTAAAATTACTGTCAATATGATGAATGGAGGCATTTTGGCACAAGTTGCCCAGTAACTTGAAATTGACAATATAATGTGTGTGCCATTAGGACTAGAACAATAAATTCAACAATGTATCATAGCATTGATCTGGGATGCTCCTCAGTTTAGGATAGAATAATGATTCTCTACATTTACATAATATTCATTCTTGGACTCAATGCTTATAAATAGACTTTATCATCTTGATGCTTAAATGATGTGGAAACTAGTGGACTTCATCAGTGCTGAGGAAGTAAAATGGTAATTCATGGATCTAGATTCAGGGCTTAGAGTGATAGAAATTGATTACCACTGGATGGCTAACATGATGTAGTTAATAAGGAAGGATTTATAGCAAATATAAGTAAACGTTCATGAGAACCACTTAAAATGCAAACCAAGAAACTACAGACTTCCAACAATAGACTTTTTCTATGCCAACCAGATGCTTACCAATATTCTCCAATGGGTAAATGCCTGATTAACAAATTTTCTTGTGATAAAGGAGAAGTAGATGAAAGTAAATGTACCTAAGGATTAGATTAAGACTGCTATAAAAATAAGCATTTTTCTAAAGGCTAATTCTCATTAATTCAACCATTGTAGAAGATGGTGTGGCGATTCCTCAAAGAGCTAGAACCAGAAATACCATTTGACCCAGCAATCCCATTACTGGGTATGTACCCAAAGGAATATAAGTCATTCTATTACAAAGATACATGCATGTGTATGTTCACTGCAGCATTCACAATAGCAAAGACATGGAATCAACACAAATGCCCATCAATGATAGACTGGATAAAGAAAATGTGGTACATATACATCATGGAATACTATGCAGCCATCAAAAGGAATAAGATCAGGTCCTTTGCAGGAACATAGATGAAACTGGAAGCCATTATCCTCAGCAAACTAATGCAGGAACAGAAAACCAAACACTGCATGTTCTCACTTGTAAGTGGGAGCTGCCCAATGAGAATACATGAACACAGGGAGGTAAACAACACATACTCTCCAAGACACACTGGGGCCTGTAAGGGGATGAGGTTGGGGGAGGGAGAGCATTAAGAAAAATAGTTAATTCATGCTGGGCTTAATACCTAGGTGATAGATTGATAGGTGCAGCAAACCACCAGGACACATGTTTACCTATGTAACAAACCTGAACATCCTGCACATATACTCCAGAACTAAAAATAAAAATTAAAAAGAAAAAACAAATTAAAACAAACAAACAAAAAAACAAATCCCTTACATCTTCCGGAACTAACTTTCTAGATCTTAAGAAAGCAAAATGTTAAAAACACATTTTAAATTTTGTTCAATGTTTTTGGTAGTTCTTGTGTTTTGTGTATTGCTTTTTATTTCAAAGTTGTGAAACAATTTTTTTAACTGGGAAAAAGAAAGTAATTTATAAGGACAAAATCCATCAAGTGAAACATACATAAAGGAGAGAGGGGCAAATAGAAAAAAGTCTTTTGTGAAATATTTATTTACCTGGTAGAAAAAGTCAATCAGTATAATCATGAAACAGAAGTAGCAGTAACTAAATAAATCTGTCCTATATGAAGGAAAATCATTAATTGAAAGAAACATATATAAAATCTGACTACTTTTCTTCCAAGTTTTGCTACAAGGAGCAAACTGATCCTTTAAAATAACAAGTTAATATAAATATGTATCTAATTATTATCAATCAATAGCTGCTCTGCTCTTCAAACTCTCAATTTCTCTTAATTGTCTAGATTTCTCAGATTTTTATTTTAATTTCACTATATTCTGTTCATCACCTCTAGGATTTATCATTAAGACTCTGAAGAAATGACTACGTATTTTTATTTTGACAAATCAACATGTGCAAATAAAGCACAGGCAATTTACTTTTTAAAAGACCTCGCAATAATGTAATTTTAAGAAAGAATCAATTCTATTGTAAACCAAGAAATTTGTTCCAGACTATAAATTCTTGAAGGTAAATGCAGTTTTTAACACATCTATAAATTATATACAAATGCAGAACAAACATTCTCAAGGAAAAAAGTTTAAAGTTCTTTGGGGAAAAAAAGAATAAAACAACCTAAATCAAAATCTCCTATGAGTCTTTGTTCTAATCACAGTTTCTACCAACAGTTACTTTATTTTCCTTCAATAGAGTATTTTAAAAAAATGCTAAAGAACAAGAAAATGTTTAGGATATATCAGGCCTTCTTGTTAGTGTTAAGATTAATGTAAAAGAAAAGCCTATCACAGAAGAAAAGCAACAGATTCTTGAATGTAGGCAAAATAAGTGGAGAATCTTGAAATGCATAGACAAGGCTAACAGCAAATTAGAAAATTATAGCCAGTTTTAGTCAAGAGGGTAACCTTGAGGAAACAAAACAGTGACACAAACACTTAAATGCCTATATTCTCAGGTAAACATATTTCATTACATCATATTCTAAGTTACGTGTAATAAGAAGGCAAAATATGTCATCAATATGTTTTTATGCTCTTTATTAAAGTTGTCTTTTATCTATTTACTGCTTTTATACATTTTTCCAAAATTTATTTTCCAAAACAGATAGCTGTGTAATTTTCTTTAAAAAAAAAAAGTTTTACTTTTTAGAGCAGTTTTAGGTTTACAAGAAAATTTTGATCAAGATACAGAGATTTCCCATATACCCCTGTCTTTATACATGCATAGCTTCCCTAGCCATCAATATTTCCTACTAGAGTGGTACATTTGATATAACTGATCAATCTATATTGACACATCTTAATCACCCAAAGTTTATAATTTACATTAAGGTTCACTCTCGGTATTGTACATTCTATGAATTTGGACAAATGTGTAATGGCAAGTATCTACCATTATTATAGTACTATACGGAGTATTTTCACTGCCCTAAAAATCCTCTGCACTCTGCCTATTCATCCCTCCCTCTTCCACTCCCCCCAACCCTTGACAACCACTTATCTTTTTACTGTCTACATAGTTTTACCCTTTTCAGATGTCTTATACTTGGAATCACACAGTATGTAGCTGTTTCTGATTGTTTCTCTTCACTTAGTGAGATGCAGTTAAGGTTCCTCCATGTCTTTCATGGCTTGATGCCTCATTTTGTTTTAGTGCTAAATAATATTTCATTGTCTCAGTGTACCACAGTTTGTTTATTCACATACTGAGGAGCATCTTGGTTGCTTCTAAGTTTCAGCAATTACAAGTAAAGCTGCTTAAACATCCATGTTCATGTTATTGTGTAGAAATAATTTTCAACTCCTTTGGGTAAATACCAAGGAGTGTGATTACTGGATCATATGGTAAGAATAGGCTTAGATTTTTAAGAAACTATGCCAAACTGTCTTCCAAAGTGCCTTCGCCATTTCACATTCCCACTAGAAATGAAAGAAAGTTCCTATTAGTTTACATCCTAACCAGCATTTGGTATTGTCAGTGTCCTGGATTTTGGTCATTCTAATAGGTGTGTGTGTAGTGGCATCTCATTGCTGTTTTAGTTTGCATTCACCTGAAGATGTAAGACATAGTGCATCTTTTCCTATGCTTATTTGCCCTCTCTGTATCTTCTATGGTGAGATGAGATTTTCTTTTTAATTTAAAAACAAGCAAGAGTGAAAAAGTGTATGTCCTCTTTTGATTTACTTAACACTATACATAGAAAGCATGACTACTCCTACAGTGAAAATCAAGACATTGTTTTTTGTTTGTTTTTCACTTGTTTTCTGAGACACAGGTTGTGGTCCAGGCTGGAGTAGAGTGCAGCAGTGTGATCATAGCTCACTGCAGCCTCAGAATCTCGGGTTCAAGCAATCCTCCTGCTTCTGCCTCCTGAATAGCTAGGACTACCATCGTGTGCTACCACACCCAGCTAACTTTTTCTTATTGTTTGTAGAGATGGGGTCTTGCTATGTTGGCCAGGTTGGCCTTGAACTCCTGGCCTCAAGCAATCCTCCTGCCTCAATCTCCCAAAATACTGGGATTATACACATGAGCCATTGTACCCAGTCCAAGACATTGTTTACCCAGTAGCATTGTACTTCAATTTCAGAAAAAGTAACAAGGAGAAAAATGAAATCTGTGATTTTGTAGGTTTAAGATTAAAAGGGTATCTTCGTGGAGGTCAATGCTACAGATTGCATTAGGACTTTTTCTAGACTACAGTGTTTTCATGTTTTTTTAATGAATTTGGGGTGTTGTCATTTTTCTTGGTACACGCATTTAATATTATCCTCATATGGAGGATTCGGAGACCCTAAGAACAAGAAAATGAGCTAACAGTGAATAGAGCGAGAGAAGGAATCATTTGACCTGGCTTCTACATTTCTTTTCATCGTATCCCTTCTCCCTTGGCAATAGTCTTTCCCCACATTGCTCAAGCAAGTGAAGAGACCCATTGCCGGAATCACCTATTTTGTGGTCCTGTCCTCAGTCTGGGTCTCTATCCCTTTGCTCTGAATCTGCACCTTGAGGAAAAATTCCAGAACAATGACCTTTCCTTTCTTTCTTACCAACTCTTTTGCAGAAGCTTCTTGCTGTCAGTGCAATTGCTCACCTCTTTAGTTCAAATGTGCCCCTTACAAAAATATCTACCGACCCTGACCTTTGAAAAGAGCAAAAGGGGTTTTCAGCTACAGCTAACAGAGAGGAGATGAAAGCCTTGACAATCTCGTGGAACCCAAGGATACTAAAATTTCTCAAGGTGCATCCCCTCTCTCAGTTGGCCAAATCTTTGTGCTTCTTCAACAACTAGAGCTAGTAAATCCACCGTAGAGGTGAAAAAGGAAAATAGTCCTCAAAGTGTAAATTATAGCCTGTAAAGGGGGAAAGAAAACGTGTCATCTTTCAACCTAACTTTCCTTGGCAGAAATAGCCTTTAAGAATTCTCTTCAAATGAGCACTCAACTTCTGGCAGGCTTCTTGTGATGCAGATTCCTTTGTTCAGGAATGATTATTTAAGCTTCCCAGTTTAGCTTCATAACACCGTTTTCATAATGCTTTTTTTTATATTTTTTATTTTCTTTCTTCTTATCTCAAAACAAGTTTTTCTCCCCAGTATAACCTTGCTTTCCGAGGAACTGAACTAGCTCTAGTGTTGTATTTATGACTGCTTTAATGCCTAAACTATTTAAGCTTATTAAACATACACTCACATACACACAAAGCCATACATAAATTTTAAAATGTGTTTAACTGTACCTTTCAAGATCAATGCAAGACTTTCTATGGAATATTTAATTAGCAGCAATACAGCAAAAGAAACCTACTATCAGGAATTAGAAACCCCCATACAAGGGGAGTCGCCCTTCCCTCCTTATTATCTTGTGTGTGTGCGTTTTTAATTAAATATCCCCAGGTTCTGGTGATACTGCAGATGTTTAACACAATACCCATTCAGTAGAAATGCTTTATACTTATCACTTCTTGAAGATGGACTTATCAGCTCTTTCTTTCAACCACATGTCTCAGATTAATATGCATTGTGAGATAACGTATTTGACAGGTTCAGAAGGGTCAAGCAGCAGAGATAACATTATGAATAGTACTAGAATTAGTAAAAAGAGGCAGAGTAGCAGAGTAGCAGCACTAAGTCCTACTCAATAGTTCAGTCTGAATGAGTACCTGGGTTATAATCTCACAGGCACATAACAGGAGAAGGAATAAGATAACAGAGCTGTATTTTCCACTTGTTGCCACATATATTGTTTTATTCTAATCCCCGTATCTCTTCATGCCCTTTACAAGAATGTATTCATTTAGCTCCAGTGGGTCAAATTAACTTGGGTATTTTAGATGACTGTTAATGAGACAGTAATCCTCTCATTTTAAGGGTGTATCTCCAATTCAAAAAATATGCATAGATGCCCCATTTCACCTCTTACTGGACAGGTGGCAAACCATTCTTCCTTTGGGTCTGTGATGTCTTTCTCACTTGATAGCTCCATCTGTCCCTGCCTGGGTGACAGCAGGATCATCGCAAAGAGAGTAATGAAGTGGAGTGGTACCCAATTACTGCCACTCCACGTGTGCCACCGCCTCACCCCTCCTACTCGTGGACTGCGGGAGAAGTCTTCTGAGTCCACTTCCCCATATACATCATCCTCCCACCACCTCTTCTTCAAGCATCTACACTCTGCCCAGCTGTGGTCAGAGACATCAGGAGAAAAGTTGAGCCCACATTGCAAGAATAAAGCAGAGAATAATAACAGCCTTGGTTGGTGGCATCTAGAGCCACCCAGCATCACTTGCAAAATTTTATTTTCCTCCAAAGTATCTTTGCCATTGGTGCTTGCCAAAGAGGGATGTTTCTGCGATTTTTACGAAAAGTTCAAAGTAAAAACAGAAATGCTTATTAGGACAGGAAATGTGGTACATTGGGCCGTAGGGAAAGGGGAACATTAGCCACCTGCTGCATACACTAGAACTAAACCTTCGTGATCCATTTTGCTTCGGTTTTTTTCTTTGTTTGTTTTGAGAGACAGAGTTTCACTTTTGTTGCCCAGGCTGGAGTGCAATGGCACAATCTAGGCTCACTGCAACCTCCGCCTCCCGGTTCAAGCAATTCTCCTGCCTCAGCCTCCCGAGTAGCTGGGACCACAGGCACATGCCACCATGCCCAGCTAATTTTTGTATTTTTAGTAGAGACTGGGTTTTACCATGTTGACCAGGCTGGTCTTGAGCCCCAACCTCAAATGATCTACCCGCCTCAACCTCCCAAAGTGCTGGGATTACAAGGCATGAGCCACTGCACCTGGCCCTTGCTTTAGTTTTTAAGGTCCATGTTTCTTCTTGATTTCCAAATATCAGCTCTATTTCTAGATTGTGGTCTGCACTGCTACTTTCCTTTACAGTATATTCTCTTTTCACTTAAGGACAGGTATTTTTCTATAAAAAAGGGACTCCAAAATCTATTCTTGGTTTGTATGCTAAGAATGAACATGAGGAGATAGAAAAAGAAGCAGGTAGATGCAGTCCATGAAACCCTTCACGTAAAAAGTATTTTCTTTTCTCCCTAAAGTGTTTGGTTTCAGTTAGACATTTTACCTGCCAAGTACTTTGCCAGGCATGAAGTACAGTCACGTGCCATATAATGATGTTTCAGTAAACAATGAACCACATATATAATGGTAGTCCTGCAAGATTATAATGAAGCTGAAAATCTCCCATTGCCTACTGACTTTGTAGCTGTCACATCATAACACAGCACATTACTCATGTGTTTGTGGTGAAGCTAGTGTAAGCAAACCTACTGCACTGGCAGTCTCTTAAAAGTCTAGCACATATGGGCTGGGTGCGTTGACTCACATCTGTAATCCCAACACTTTGGGAGGCCGAGGTGGGAGGATCACAAGATCAGGAGTTTGAGACCAGCCTAACCAACATGGTAAAACCCCATCTCTCCTAAAAATACAAAAATTAGCCGTGCATGGTGGCGTGCGCCTGTAATCCCAGCTACTCAGGAGGCTGAGGCAGGAGAATTGCTTGAACCCAGGAGGTAGAGACTGCAGTGAGCCAAGATTGCACCACTGCACTCCAGCCTGGACAACAATAACTAAACTCTGTCTCAAAAAAAAAAAAAAAAGTCTAGCACATACAATTATGTGCAGCAGAGACTACTTGATGATGATAATAAATGACTATTACTGGCTCATATATTTACTATGCCATACTTTTTATTGTGATTTTAGAGTGTACTCTGTACTTTTTTTTTTTAAGTTAACTGTGAAACGGCTTCAGGCAGGTCCTTCAAGAGGTATCCAGAAGAAGGCATTGTTATCCTAGGAGATGACCACTCTAAGCATGTTACTGCCCCTGAAGACCTCCCAGTGGGACAAGATATGGAGGTGGAAGATAGTGATCCTCACCCCGTGTAGGCCTAGGCTAATGTGTGTGTTTATGTCTTAGTTTTTAAGAAAAAAGTTTAAAAAGTAAAAAAATAAAAATAGAAAAAACTTACAGAATCAGGATATAAAGTAAGAAAATATTTTCATAGAGCCGTATAATGTTTCTGTTTTAAACTAAATTTTGGTACAAAAAGTCAAAAAGTTTAAAAAATAAAAAGTTCATAAAATAAAAATGTTACAGTATGTTGAGGTGAATTTGTTATTGAAGAAATAATTTTGTATAAATTTTACAAATTTAGTATAGTCTAAATGTGCAGTGTTGATAAGGCCTACAGTCATGCACAGTAATGTCCTAGGCCTTCACATTCACTCACTACTCACTGACTCATTCAGAACCACTTCTAGTTCTGCATGCTAAATTCATGGTAAGTGCCCTATACAGATGCATCATTTTAAAAAATCTTTTATACTATATTTTTACTAGGCCTTTTCTATGTTTAGATCTACAGTACCTATCATTGTACTACAGTTGCCTACGATGTTCAGTACAGTGACATGCTGTACGGGTTTGCAGCCTAGGAGCAATAGGCTATATCATATAGCCTAGATGTGCAGTAGGCTGCACCATCTAAATTTGTGTAAGTACACTCTAAGATGTTTGCACAACGATGAAATGGCCTAATGATACATTTCTCAGAACATATTCCTGTCTTTAAGCAGTGCATGACTGTACTTAGATGTGGACACAGATTGTTCTTGACTTAGAGGGGCCCCCAGGCTAGTAGAGGAGAAATGTGTGAAATTCAATGCAGCGTGTGATCATTAGGTCTATTCAAAGTACAATGCAAGATTTGTGGTAGAAAAACAAATGAATAAATAGCTCATCATAACTAGTATGAATGCTATTTAAAGTAGGGAAACAGCACAAATTCAGACTTAGAGGTGTCAAAGAACATGGTATGTCTAGGACAAGGAATGACCAAAGCAAAGTTATAGGAGTAGATGGGCATTGAAAGAGCAAATAGCAAATGTCACAATGTACTTTGGGGCCAGGTTTCAAAGCCCCTCATGTAGAGGTTGTGTGATTTTCACATTATCTTAAAGGAAACAAGATCTTTTGAGGTGAAACAGTTGGGTGTGTTCTAGGGTATACAAAGTCCCAAGTAGAGTTTATTTGAATCCTCCATGGAAACAACTGCATTCCTATTGGAAGAACACAGTCAGAGTCATTCTCTACCTCCTTGAATGTCACACAAACCACAAGCCTGGGCCAATGGGGAAAAGTCAGTATTGAAAAGCTGCAAGAAAATGTGGCACATATACACCATGGAATACTATGCAGCCATAAAAAAGGATGAGTTCATGTCCTTTGTAGGGACATGGATGAAGCTGGAAACCATCATTCTCAGCAAACTATCGTAAGGACAGAAAACCAAACACTGCATGTTCTCACTCATAGGTGGGAATTGAACAATGAGAACACTTGGACACAGGAAGGGGAACATCACACACCGGGGCCTGTCGTGGGGTAGGGGGAGGGGGAGGGATAGCATTAGGAGATATACCTAATGTAAGTGACGAGTTAATGGGTGCGGCACACCAACATGGCACATGGATACATATGTAACAAACCTGCATGTTGTGCACACGTACCCTAGAACTTAAAGTATAATAATTAAAAAAAAAAAAAAAGCTGCAGAACAGGAGCAAGCACAAAATATCAAAAGAACAGATGACCCTATTTCAGCAAATCAGAGCAGTCTGGATGCCACAATGCACTGCACATGGTCACCTTTGGCCCGCCCCATACATGCTAGTATTCTCCTTATTTTCTTCTTACTTAGCTCACTCTCTTTGAGTAATGTCCATTCTCATAGCATGTCTGTAATCACTGTTACACAGCCAACCTCTGTGGGCACTCAAGCAATGGCATGTGTTTTGTACTCGACATGAAAGCAAAGGACATGTTGGCATGATGGGTAGGGGGTAAGCAGTCAAGAGAATTGACAACCAATGATGAAAAACCATGAGCAGATTTCCTTAAATTAAAGTTTAAAAGTTTCAGGGGAATCTATCAGTATATCGATGATGAGCTATCTTCAGAATTAAAAGAGAGAAAGTGCCTACTTTCCTATTTTACTTTTTATTTTGAAAATGAACATGACACCCCTAGCGGCTGCAAGACAGCCAGATGGTTTCCTCAGGTCAGTTGAAAACTTTCACATAAGGGGAAAGAGGAAGGCTAACTAGCAAGCTGGGAAGATGGTTACCAAAAGATCCACATGGGAAGAATTTATCCAGCAATGACAAGTTGTGTGGAGATGATGTGAGACTGTCCGACACTTCTATATCCTTCCCTTCAGTCTGGCTTACGTACCATTTGAAAGAGCACGCACATGGCTTGATAGGGATGCAGCCTTGAAATCAATTGACATAGCAGGGAAAACATTAATAGCATCTGCAGCCACAGAACAGTCTGCTGCAGTGAGATTTGTTGTAGGACAGAAATGACAGTTATAGAACAGCATTTTACTGATATGGGCTTCGTGAGTACGGATAGCAAAAAAAAAAGGAGTGGATACTATGGCAGGAAGTGTTTGTAGCATGAGTTAGGGGTTTTGATGGAACAAACTGGGCTACCAATAAAGCATTATACAAGTAAAAATGGAGAGGCTGGTGAAGTAGAGAAAGATGGAAGATGGTGATAGATGCAGTGTTGATCCTGAACGACGTTTTCTTAGCCTGTTCTATTACACACCAGCCACGGCTTGGACTTTTCATGGTCCCATTTGAAACATCAACTGATGTTGAATGCTAGAGTGACTTTGCAGAGACGGTATGATTGCACAGGTGAAATTCACAGAAACAAATGCTGTCCTTTGACTCATGCTGCTTGTAAGTTCATAATAACATTAACAAATTTGATCCCAAAATTACTGTCAAAATTTGTTTTGTTGTTTTTGAGTACATCAACTGATCTTCAGTCGAATTGCTTTATTTATTTTAAACTTCAATTTCACAGATCCTGAAATATTGATTTGATTTTTTTCAAATGAGGAAAGTTTTAATAGTAATATCAGGCCAAACTGCAAAAATTAATACAAGATATTTTTCTAACATGTTACAATCACATTTCAAAATGGCATTGATTTGGTGCCTTACTATATGTATTTTTTGCCTCTAGGGACAGTTTGGATGCTAATTCAAATTTGTCATGGCAGGAAATGAAGTGTCTGGTCTGGTAAAGAAAATCGTTCATCAGAGTTACAGTTTTTCCTGGTTGGAGATGTAAACGGAAACATCTAAATTATTTAAGAAAACTGATCTTATGATATTCCTGGAAAAGATGTCATAACACTGACATAAACCATCAGTTACTCCCCACTTCCCACGACATCAGTACTTCAAGGTTAATGACATATAAATTCATGTTTTATAAAAGATGTAAAACATTAATGTTTCCTTGTTTTAATTCCTGAGGATGCCTGTATATTTGGAAAGAGGGGAAAGGCCTCATTAGGAGAAAACATAGTGTCTCTTTCCATTTCTTTCCTATCTCTAAGATTTGAAAATTTTTTTCCTTTTCTTAATGTAGTTATATCCCATTTGGATAGCTCTGTGGGGTGTTGCTAGGTTAAATTTGTGACATCACACTTACTGTTAAATCTTGTCCATTTCCAAGACTATTCTAAACACCATAGGAGACAAAAAATAATTATAAGACTCAGTTTCCTATCTTCAGACAACTTACTCTAGAGTTAAGAGAGAGTATATGTCAATATTTTAAGACTTATCTGAGGCTTTGGGTAAAAGATAACTTAAAATAAATGCAGCTTCTGTGCTCTGGAGTCAGGCTTCTCATTGGGTTTCTTTGGGTTTGGATGACTGTGGCTGTGCAATTTAGTTATCACAGCTGTAAATGATGTCCATAGTACAATATACATCATAGGGTTTTTGTGAATATTAAATTAGTAAGTGTACACAAAGTGATAAAAATGGTGCCTAAGGAGATACAGCCACTAAGTGTTATTGTTCATTTACTTTTTTCAGTAAATATGTACTGAGTATCAATTTTTACTACATATGCAGACAACATCACTAACACAATTTCCCCTTCCTCTTAGAGGTGACATTCTCCAGCAGGGAGGTGAACTGGGGAGATAACTGTGAACATGGAAGTGTTAGAGTGTAGCAGGTGCTGTGGTTGAAACAGGATAACGTGGTAGCAAATAGGTTGGGAGACAACTTGTCCTAGATAGATTAGTCAAGGGAAGCTTCCTTGCAGAGGAATTATTTAGACTAAAACCCCAATTATTCACAGAAGCCAGGTGTGTGATCCATAGGTAAGTTAGAAAATTCAAAATAAAAGGAAACCATTGAGCCCTGGGGCAATCTGAAGAGGCTCCTTGGAGGAAGAGGCCGTCCTCATACTATTCAAATTAGCAGACAGGAGAAAAATGGTTTCTCAGGCAAATAAGTCGCCACAGATGCAAAGCTCAGATGTGGGAAACTCAAGACATAAGATGTGCTAAACGGGTTTTAATATTTCTACCTGTCTATAATGGATGGTTTATGCAGAAGAGTAGGGGGCAAGGTGAGGAGGTAAACTGACCCCAGATGGCAGAGGCCATTCAACCTCAGAATCTTCTTAAAATCACACAGAGATTTCTCTACATATAATTTGAGTTATTGATGATTTATGATATAAATTAATTATTTGACTATTTCTTCAGTTCAATGATGGGCCCCTAGAGCGGGGCACTTGTTAAGTATTCATTGACTGAGTAATTGATAGATTGTGATAGATGCAGGAGGCAGGTAAGAGGGAGGACCCCTGAAGAATCTTCGACCCACCCCACATCAGAGGCTTTTATGCAGAGGAGGGAACCTGCCCAGGGTCTTGTCTGCACATGTTCACAATGGACTGGGGGCCCACCTGGGCACTGGGAGAATGGGGTGAAACCAGGGGAAGCTTACACCTTGTGCAGGAAGGAGGAGCCTGGCATTTTCAGTTCCTGTGCGATGGCTTAGTATTCAATTTGTGAGGTGGGGGCCTGATAGCAGGACTCCCTCTCGCTTTGCTGATTGTTTTTCTTTCTTTTTTCCTTTACACCCGATAAATTCTGCTCTCCTCACCCTTCAATGTATCCACTTGCCTAATCTTTCCTCCTCATGTGACAAGAACCCAGTTTTAGCTGAACTAAGGAGCAAACTTCTGCAACAGTTGGTTAGTTGTTTGGGTAGTTTATTTATTGCACAAGACCTAGAATAAAAGATGCTGAATAAATGTTTAGGGAAGAAAAGAATGAAGGAATGAAGGAAAATAGCAGTGATAATACAATGGAAAGACTTGGATATAAGAAAAACATGAGGGAGAAGTCAACAGTACCATGCTTAAAATGGAAGGAGATGAAGACAAGTCAAAGATGAATGAGGTGTCAAGCCTACATGACAAATGCACACCAATAAGAAAATGCCAAGAGATTTGGTTTAAAGGAGGAAAAAGATGAGGAGACCCATGTTAGGTGTGCATATGTCAAGGAAACACTGTGATAATCAAGCAGAACACACACACACAAACACACACAAAGAATAGTTAAATGGCTAACAGGGATCCAGGATAAACTGGTGCAATGAAACTTCCAAGGAAGAGCTCTCTCAGTCACTTACTAACATAGATTCCATGGAGAATTAAAGCTAAGGAAATGCTTTCAGATTTGTCAATTAGGAAGCCACCATTGATTTTTGAAGGGGCCGTATCCAATTGAATGTTGGGGGATAGAAGCCAAGTTGTACCTTTGTCTTCTCATCTGTCATTTTCTTGAGTTTTCAAGAAATATCTGTCAATCAGTAGGCAAGAGGTCATAATGTTGGTACTTTGTATAAATGCTGAAAATAAATAATTAGGCCACATTTATAATTATTAAAATGCCAGATTCAGCCAGCATGGTGGCTCATGCCTGTAATCCCAGCAGTTTGGGAGGTCAAGGTGGGTGGATCACCTGAGGTCAGGAGTTTGAGACCAGCCTGGTTCACATGGTGAAACCCTGTCTCTACTAAAAATACAAAAATTAGCTAGGTGGTGGCACATGTCTGTAATCCCAGCTATTCTGGAGGCTGAGGCAGAAGAATTGCTGGAACCTGGGAGGCGGAGGTTGCAGTGAACCAAGATCGCACCACTGCACTCTAGCCTGGGCGACAAGAGTGAGACTCAATTTAAAAAAAAAAAAAAAAAAAAGCGAGATTCTGCTTTTAAAAAATAAAACAATCAAAAGCATTTTGAAGACAACCAAAGTGTTACCTCCCCCACCAAATAATATTTTCAATTTACTTAATAATGTGTAATTATAGATATACGACAATTGCATTTCCTGACATCTCATACTGGTGAAGTCAATACCTTGAAGAGTTTCTCTAAAAAACCGAATGAGTAAATAAATAGAGTTTTTTTTAAAGAAAACTTTTATTTACTTTATCTTAAAAGACATACATAATAATAAATAAGAAAGAAAAGGACAAGGGTTTTAAAGGTCAAGTTAAGCATTTTTCTTTAACAAGGTTATTTTGACATTACTAAATGGAACAGCCACAGAACTTCGAGCAGCCCTATTAGATTAATGATAGCATCAATGGCAAGAACAAGTACTGTTTGTTAAGCACATTTCCCCCTCAATACTTTAATTCTGCTTGGGACAGAGAAAATAGAGAAGAAAAGAAAGCCTAATCTAACCCTGGTCATCATATATTTTCTTTTTTTAAATTCAGTAAGAATCAACAGCACAAAAATAGCCTTTTCCAGACAGTATCAAAAAAAATCAATAATCAGTCTTGCCAGAAGAAATTAAACAACACTTTCAGTACTGTTACCCATTAAACAGACTATATTGATAATTTTCAAACCATATGCCCAGTCTTTTATACACTCTGAAAGGAAATATCTTTATTATTGTATAAAGCTGCCTTGACCTACACATACCCTTAAGCCAAAAATAATCCTTTTCTTCTCTGACCTCCTTAAGATTTTATGTTTCAAATGGAAAGAACTTCTGGATAAGCATGGAGAAGTGACTACATAAGCAATTTTTTCTGTGCTGGTTCCAGAAATTGCATTCAAATTAGAGTAAAGTTGAACCCATAAGCACAAAGAGAAAGAAAGGAAGCTATCAGGGAACAGAGTTATCCACAAACTATTGGAACGTGGGTGATACAAGGAGAAGCAACCTGCATCGTGCAGCAAGAACTTGGAAAGGCTCATACATTTTGATACTAGAAACCAAGGAAGGCCAGGTGTGGCACAAACAGAAAACTGAAAGTCCTTGAGGGAAGTGTTTACATATTGGCCTCTTCCCAGCAGTTCATTTCATGGAAATTGAATTCAAGAGCATCCAGATTTGAGCACACCTGGCACAGAGGAAAAGTGGGGGAGAGGTACCATTCTGGAAAGTTACTGTTTAATCCAATGCCTCAACCTTCTTAATTTCACTCCATTGCAAGAACACCCTTTGTTAAACCAATATGCTCAAGTAAGTGGTTAGAATAGTCTTTTCTGGAAAAACTCAACAGCACCCAACAAAGACATAAATACTGACCACTGATGGTCCCTCAATGAAGCAGTTGGGTCCTCACACAGTTTCCTACAATGAAGCCCACTAGTCCTTCAGACCTACAAATATATACAAAAAAAATTCAAGTATCAATCCAGGAGATCCATGCCTTCTGCATTTTAATCTCTGTGTCACAGTCCACTGTCCCGGGAACTAAATCTGTGGTACAATAATTCAGAAACAATTTTTAAAAGCCAACAATATTATTTTCCAGATTAACAGGGTTTACTAAGGTTCCAGCATAATAAATGACCTCAGTCACATCAAAACACAATTTCAGAAAGAAAAGAAAAAGAAAAAAAATCCAGAAGACTTCCAGAAAAGAAATAAATCAAATAACATAAAAAGCATCAGGAGACGTAATGGCATTGGACTTCTCAGAAACATCACTCAAATCTAGAAGATGATGTAACAATTTCTTCAAATGGCTTTAAAACTATGCTAGCAAATGCTACTAAACTGTCAAACATGAAGGCACAACAAAACAAATTCATATATGTAAGGTTTAAAAAAAATCTCCCTTTCTCCTTTCTTCAAGAACCTGGTGAATGTGTGTTGCTAAAAAAAAAAGGGAGTAAATGAAGAAAAAAGATGATTTGGTAAATAGAGAATCCAAGAAAGAAGAGAGGTAAAGTCTAAGAATGAGAGCTGTGGTCAGTCAGGCTTGAGCATGAGTCTAGCAGAGAGCAAGGAGAGCAGTCTCTGAAAAAGGTCTCCATAAAAATGATGGAACTGTTGCCATACCTGAAGTGCTTTAGTGTTCAGAGATGAGTTAGGATTCTGTTGAGAAATATGGAAAGGAAGTATAATCAGGGTATAATAAATCAACCAGTTACAATAAGATAAAACTTTAGGCCAATATCCCTGATAAACATCGATATGAAAATCCTCAATAAAATACTGGCAAGCTGAATCCAGCAGCCATCAAAAAACTTATCTACCATGATCAAGTCGGCTTCATCCCTGAGATGCAAGGCTGGTTCAACATATGTAAATCAATAAGCGTAATCCATCACATAAACAGAACGAAAGACAAAAACCACATGATTAACTCAATAGATGCAGAAAAGGCCTTTGATAAAATTCAACATCCCGTCATGTTAAAAACTCTCAATAAACTAGGTAATGATGAAACATATCTCAAAATAATAAGAGCTATTTATGACAAACCCACAGCCAATATCATACTGAATGGGCAAAACCTGGAAGCATTCCCTTTGAAAACCGGCACAAGACAAAGATGCCCTCTGTAACCACTCCTATTCAACATAGTATTGGAAGTTCTGGCCAGGGCAATCAGACAAGAGAAAGAAATAAAGGGTATTCAAATAGGAACAGAGGAATTCAAATTGTCTTTGTTTGCAGACGACATGATTTTATATTTAGAAAACCCCATCATCTCAGGCCCCAAATTCCTTAAACTGACAAGCAACTTCAGAAAAATCCCAGGATACAAAATGTATGTGCAAAAATCACAAGCATTAATTTACACCAGCAATAGACAAGCAGAGAGTCAAATCATGAATGAACTCCCATTCACTATCACTACACAGAGAATAAAATACCTAGGAACACAGCTAACAAGGGATGTGAAAGAACTCTTCAAGGAGAACTACAAACAACTGCTCAAGGAAATAAGAGAATGCAAACAAATGGAAAAACATTCCATCCTCATGGATAGGAATAATCAATATCATGAAAAAGGCCATACTGCCCAAGGTAATTTATAGATTCAATGCTATTCCATCAAACTACCATTGACATTCTTCACAGAATTAGAATAACCTATTTTAATTTCATATGGAATCAAAGAGCCCATATAGCCAAAACAATCCTAAGCAAAAAGAACAAAGCTAGAGGCATCACACTACTTGACTTCAAACTACACTACAAGGCTACACTAACCAAAACAGCACGGTACTCATACCAAAACACATATAGACCAATGGAGGAATAGAGACCTCAGAAATAACACCACATATCTACAACCATCTGATCATCATCGACAAACCTGACAAAAACAAGCAATGAGGAAAGGATCTCCTATTCAGTAATTGGTTCTGGGAGAACTGGCTAGCCATATGCAGAAAACTGAAACTGGACCCCTTTCTTACACCTTATACAAAAATTAACCCAAGGTGGATGATATACTCAAATATAAACCCAAAACCATAAAAACCCTAGAAGAACACTTAATGCCATTCAGGACATAGGCATGGACAAAGACCTCATGACAAAAATGCCAAAAGCAACTGCAACAAAAGCCAAAATTGACAAATGGGATGTAATTAAAATAAAGAGCTTCTGCAAGGCAAGAGAAACTATCATCAGAGTGAACAGGCAACCTACAGAATGGGAGAAAATTTTTGCAATCTACCCATCTGACAAAGGTCTAATATCCAGAATCTACAAGGAAATTAAACAAATTTACAAGAAAAAAACACCCCCCATGAAAAGGGAAAAGTCTAGTAAGTAACGATTCAACATGAAGAGGACGGTGGAGGCAGAAATGAACTTGGAAAGTATGTGCGAGTTGAAGATGCTTACTTTGTGACTGTAGAATAAAGGCAGCTGAAGCAATAGTAAAATAGCCAAGTGTTGACTGGAGGCAAGTGGGTCTGTCTGTTTTAATGCTGGAAGGAAGGAAGGAAGGAAGGAAGGAAGGAAGGAAGGAAGGAAGGAAGGAAGGAAGGAAGGAAGGAAAGAAGGAAGGGACGGACGGACGGAGGGAGGGGAAGGAAGGGGAGGGGAGGGGAGGAGAGGGGGAGGGGAGAGGAGGAGAGGGGGAGGGGAGCGGAGGGGAGGAGAGGGGAGGAAATCTTGGCAATGCAAAAAATATCTAATAATTTAAAATGGGCCACAAGTCAGGCTAAACTAGCAATATGACAATGGCCTGGCACTGAGTAGAGAGAGCTGTTTTCTTTTTCTTTCTTTTTTTTTTTTTTTTTTTTGAGACAGTCTCATGCTGTCACCCAGGCTGGAGTGCAGTGGCATGATCTCAGCTCACTGCAATCTCCACCTCCCAGGTTCAAGAAATTCTCCTGCCTCAGTCTCCCAAGTAGCTGGGACAACAGGTGCACACCACCACGCCTGGCTAATTTTTATATTTTTAGTAGAGATGGGTGTCACCATCTTGGCCAGGCTAGTCTCGAACCCCGTACCTCAAGTGATCCACCCACCTCAGCCTCCTAAAGTGCTGGGATTACAGGTGTGAGCCACCACACCCAGCCAGAAGGCTGTTTCGGAAGACCAGAAAGAATTGGCTCCAACATTGGAAGGAGACAAGTGGTGGAAAGTAGTACATAGGCAGGGTTTATCAATACAAAATCAAGTCAAAAACCTCTATTCTGTTTTTAGACACTGATATCTAAATTCAGTTATATTTTGAAGAAATATATTTTTTAATCTTTTTTCAGAGAAATTTCTTAAAGGTGGAAGGACCATGGTGTCTATCAAATTGAGGAACACATATTATTGATCAGTATATACATAGAAAGAAACAGGGTTTAATAAAGAAAAGTCAAGTATCTCATATGTATAAAACAGGGGCATTTAAAAGACATGCAACCAAAGCCATTCTCTAATAGATGGTGTCAAATTAGTTTTTCCCATTATGTTATCAGCCTAAGTGTTTCAATTCATCTACAAAATGAAGGGACATTTTTTCCCCAAGTGACCTCAAGTCAATCTTCTTTCCATAAGTTGATTATTCAACTGGAAATGATTTAGCAGTGATCTCACCATAGCTTGAATGTATTCCAATATATGGCATGCATGAACATTAGAAGACTGATGTATTCATTAAAATGAAAGCATTAATTCCATAATATTTATTTAAATTTTTAAAAATCCTCAGTGGCACAAATGTAGATTAGTTGAAATAGGAAATTATGTCTAAAAATGCAATACACATTCTTGCCATAGATACCAGACCAAGGATTCAGACTAAAACATGACTTATTTTCTCTGTCAGGAATTACAAAATGTGCATTTTTTAGCAGATGCTAATTGTACCAATGGGATTTGTCCAAACCACTCTCATCTGGGATGTGTTTAATTCTTACTACATCAGCACATCTATTCTTCCTCTGAGGCTTAACTAGAAATGTACATAATAAACCTTATTTTTACCATTACATGAAGTGCAGTGAATACATGGAGCTGTTAGTTCCTTCAGTATCTATCAGGGACATACTCTGTTACATTGCACTGTTATAAAGGGTGTGGGCAGGTGTCACGTGGTTGAGAAAATAATCTGAACTCTCATGAAGTGATTTCAGGGTAAGGCAACATACGATGATAGAATGCCATTTGGGGTAGTAAATAATGACAATTAGGGACCAGGAAATCACTCCATAAGTTGCCAACTATACAGTAAATATAAAACATTTAAAGCGAGTTAGAGAATGGAGAGACTCCAAATGAATATCAGGTTTAATGTTCAAGGGCAAGAAACTGTTAAGAAAACCCAAGGATACATCTTGCTCACAAACTCCTGTGTATTTATCTGGGACCATGTACCCTTCAAGAATATTAATGACAGCATAGATTTACATTATACTTTACACCTTTCAAGGCTCTTTCACATATGACTGATAAGTCAGGGAGTGTTTTATTATCACCACTGTACATATAGAGGAAAAAGACTCAGTAACATGAGGCAAGTTTTTAAACATGAAACAAAAGCAAAGCATCAGGCCTCCAGTGGCCAAGATTCTACTCCTGGCTGTTCCATATCACAGCAAGACGTGTGGCCCAGTGACAGCATGTGCAGCAAAAGGAAAAGAAGAGGGGAATAGAGAGAAGGATTTTGCAGCAAATGAGTTGTCAAATGGGCTCCTGGGATGATGGTGAAAATCATTTTGAAGAAATTATCCATCATTTATTCCTTTAGGTTGCAGGGATGCAGGGAGGGTAAAGGGACATATAGTTGATTATTATGAAGGCATCGCCCTTCTGGGTGAGTGACAGTAGCCTGTTTTAAAGCATTCTTTGGCCTAAGCAGGTGCCCTCCTGTGGGTTGTGTGGATAGAGAGCCCCGCCATGTATACAATGAAAGAAAAGCTGAAAACAACAAAGGTCAATTAGGGAGTTAATAACTTGTTTGTATTTACAGTGAAGATATGAAAAGCCAGTTCCCACAGAGGGAATGGTTCAACTGCACAGAGAATAAACTGTACTGTCGACAGACTTCACAAAGTAGTCACATACACACCGATTACTCCCTCTAGGTCTGACTTCTGTTAAAACTGTAAAATAATTTTTATTTATCCTCTTTGTCAGACAAAGCCAGCCAAACTCATAGGGGGAAAAATTGCTTTTTAAATGAATAAAATCTCTATTTCAAGAAAGACAAGCATTTTTAAAAATTAGTCAATTTAAAATTTTTAAAATTTAGTCACTTTAGTCTCTGGGCATCTTCTCTCCTCAAAATTGTCTTGTTTACCCCTCTTTTTGCCTTCTATTTGCTATGAAAAAGAGTAAATCCATAAAGAATGCTGATCTGCTGGGAAGAATACACTACAGTTCTCTCTCATGTAACTTTGTTGAACCTGTGGACCCAAAGGGGAGATAAAATGTATTTTTTCATCAGTAAAAGTCACCAAAAATGTCTTGAAGACTCACAGGAAACAAATATCCATGGTAAGACGATCACATATTTATACAGTCACTTTCTGACCACCAGTAAGCTTTCAGGAGAAAGAAAACTCTGGAAAACTCAAGGATACAACTAGAGGTTAAGGAATCCACTCATTAGAATACACAGCATGTCATTTCTGCACAGTGGTGATGCTTTTCCTTCCACTGCACAGATCCATCCCAGGAGCCCTCTTGGCGTTGTCAATATAGTCATTATCAATTATGCAATGCAGGGGGGAGCAAAGATTAGTAATTCAAAGCTAAGACATCTCCATGATTTATAATCTTGCATGTAACCATCTACAGCAAGCATTGGGAACCTGTCATTAAAAGGCATTAACTTGAGAAAATTAGAGTTCTGTATTGATCACCAAACACCTACAGTTTATTGTGGAGTGATGCTTTAATTTATATTCCAAGCAAGACACTAGGTGAATACTATTTGCATAGAGAGGACTGCATCCTGAAGCCATCTAGTTCCACAACATGACAGGAGCTGTGGCCAAGCATCTTCTCTAAATATATACATTCCAGTGTAGTAGACAGGCAGAGAATGAACCCAAAACTACTTGTGCAGGGCAGCCTGTGGTTAAGGCACAATTATTGACCAAAGAGATAAGATGTCGTTTTGTCTTGAACCTGCTAAACTTGGGCTAGTCAATGGCTGGATGGACAATCTAAAGGAAATATTACTTTTCTACAACCCCACTTCTAGGTAGGTGGACTGCCTCTCTGCTCTTTGCCCCCACTACCTTTCTAACAATTGGCTTTCCTTAATAAAATTAGATAGCTGTTACTATGTTACTTAGCCCAGTTCCTGAGTTTCTGGAAGTGAACACTAGAGGACGGCATCTATGTGGTGTGATTCCTGGAAGAATTGGATGTGAGGGCACATTATCTCAGATAATAAGACTGTCAGGATCAACCTTTAGAGAAAGCATCTGAGAGTTCAGAACTGAACTTCAGAGAAAGTAAAAGGGCTTTGCAAGCATTGCCTAATAGTAAGTTGGGCAGAAACTCACAGCATCTAGGAAACCATGAGCTAAAAATGGTTTTCTACCCTAGCTGCATATTATAATCATCTGGTGAGATTTTATAGAATATTGATGTCTATGCCCCCACCCCTGAGATTCTAATTTAATTGGCCTGGGGTGAGAAGCCAGGCACTGAAGACCTTTTAAAGTTTCCTAAGTGATTCCAACGTGCAGCCAATTTTGGGAACCACTGGTTGTAGCATGTTGGAATACATGTGAGTAAATGTAAGATAGAAAGAATGGAACACATTGAAATGGCTAAGACTTGGTATGGACATCAAAATGGTATATATGGTAAAATTGAGCAGGGAATAGCAAAGTAGTATATAGCAAAGAAATGTGGATACAAAATTTTGGTTTCTACATCAGTCTTGGCTGGTTGGCCAAAGAGTCTTAGAGGAAACATGGTGGTGTAAGAAAGCACCCATCTGCCTCTTCTACTTTTTATTTTATTTTATTTTTTCAGAGACGAAGTTTCCCTTTGTTGCCCAAGCTGGTTTCAAACTCTTAGCCTCAAGCAATCCTCCTACCTCAGCTTCCCAAAGCACTGGGATTACAGTTGTGAGTCAACACTCCTGGGCCCCTCTTCTAATATCCCATGACACAAAAACACCACTGTTACTTGGAAACCCAGCAGCTGAAGTGTGTGGTGGACATCAGCTGAATTTAGTGGAAATCAGGCATGCTATCTCTCGCTATGAAACATAGGGAGGAGTACAGGATAAATGTAGGATCAGAAAATCAGATTTTATAGCTTTGAGATTAGAACTGGAAAATCATTCCTCTAAAAAAAAAAATCTTTGAGGAGCCAGTGGACCACGTCTATGTCCAATGTGTGTTTCACAGGAGGTGCAGGGAAAACGTTCACTGTGTCCCAACCATCTTTTATCTGCACATTCAGACTTGGATGTAAACAAAAAGGAGAGGGTGATATTAGGAGAGCTTGTAGCTAGATACAGAGCAATGCGATAAAGGGAGATTAAAAGAGTGTTTTTAAAGGCTTAAAACATCAAAGATAAGCATCTGACAAAGAGCATTCAAGGCAAAGAACAATAGATTAGAGAGGTAGCTTTGATAAATTTTCATGCTGTGGAAACAAGAAAAAAGAAATAAAACATCTAGAAGGAGCCCAAAGACCTCTTTGCCTATGCACTATTAATAACTAAAGAGAAATAAAAAACAACTATTCTTGACAAATATAATGATGACAGCTTTGATGTTTCTGTGCTAGTCAAGGATGAATGAAGAATACGTAGCTTCTAAATACAAATATATGTGTAAGTTGCGATAAAATTACATTATGCAGGGCCTTATCACTATCTCTAGATCTAAGTGGAGTCTAGTTTAGATGTTAATAAATAATTCTGGATGGATTTCAGGATCCCTCTGAGGGCTACTTGTGGTTTAGTCATTAATATCATGCAGACGTGTTCCCAAGTAATTAAAAGCCTTTGAGATGTCTAGTCTGAACAAATCTACCAAACTCTGAATCAGTTGAATTTTCACCTTCCACCTCTTAGCGTGTTCAGCCAATAGAGAACCTCTAGCTCTTGCTGAACCACAGAAAGCACATAAAAAAACAAACTCTTCTTCACCTCCTCCCTTGTGATAGCAGTAATATTTTTTTTTAATCCAGAGCCTGTGGAGCCTTATTATCTGGGGGGAAATGTAATGAAAGAAGGGAAAAGACGTGCCACATGGCCCCATCAAATAAGGCATTGGCTATCATGTCTGGTGATTAGATTAAAGAAATCTCAGAGCACCTCAAAGCAATTTATAGAAAAACACATTCATGTTTACCTGGGGAGAAGTGACTCAGGTTACAGCTTCCAGATTCCAGCCTTAGTGCCTTAAATTTAATTAATGGAGCATATTGCTTGGTATTAAGCTGCATCAAGCTAGGCTGTAATGAGATGTGCTATTGACAGTGACTTTTCTATTTCAGCAGAACAGTTCAGATGAAAGCACTTGTTTGAAAGGAAATGCACTTGGTCTGAATCCCCTTCTACTCCCTTTCCTTGGAACCAGATGTCTGTATTCTCAAGATCCATTTTCATTTTCTGTGTCCCTTCCCTTTGTCTTCATTGCCAAACAACTTTATAAGTGGGTACCAGTCCATCAGTCTAAGAGGGAAAGATCTCAGTCTGGATTCTGTTATTATTTTGAGGAGTCCCCTCTGATGTCTTAAACTCCATTTTTTAACAACCCTTCCAGCCTTTGCACTCTCACACTCAACAAAATAATAATAGCTGATACCTATTGGACATATTTTCAACCAGAATAAAATTGAGACCTTTATGTTTAGCATCTTTTATGCTTGTAAGACACCTTGATAGGATATAAGTCTCTTCATTATGCAAATGATAAAACAAAGGCCTGAGAAGTTAAATCATCTTGCCCAAGGTCAGATAGCTATTGAGTAATAGAGAGTGGCATTCAGGCTTTTTTTTTTTTTTTCATTCAATGCAAAGTTGTTCAGGACCTACTAAGTGCTAAGAAGAGAAGCACTACATTAGGAGTAAGAAACACACCCATGAGAAAGATAGAGGTACCCTCATGGAGATTTTGTTACAGTGAGGGAAAAAGGTAAATAAGGATTAAAATGTTGGCAAATTGTGATGTCATTAAATACAGAATAAAAGGAAGCCTCCAAAGAAGGTGGTCAGGAAAGCTTTGCTGCAGAGGGCACATACAGCCTGAGTCCTCAAGGACAGCCAGTCAGCTACAGGATGCACTGGGGAGCAGCAGAGTGGAGCTGGTACTTAGGGGAGGGGTGGTCCAAGCCCAAGTTCCTAATTATTGTGCAACAACATTTACTGTTTGACCTTCTCCAGAACAATCTGAAGCATTCATTTCTCTCAGCTTATTCTAACCAACTCACTCACCTTCTACCACCATTTTAAATGTTGCTATATCTTCTCCCCACATTTAATTATTTTTAGTCTAAGGAAAAGAGGTGTCACTTACCCTTTTTCCAATTTGTTTCTCTAAGGGATGCACATAGCCATGTGGCTTTCCTGGAGCCTTGTTACTCTGGCTGATTTTCATCTTCTATATCTCCATCCTCTCCTTCCTCTTGATTCCTTTCTTGCAGTGCACAACATGCACATGTTTCTCAGACCTTAACACAGCTCTCAAACAGGCAACTCCTTCCAGCTCCAATCCTTGAAAACTATAATCTGTATTTTATCTTCCCATTTTCATTTTTCATTCACTCCATGGACCCTGTGAACTGTTTTAACCTCTTTCATTCCACTGAACAGAAGAGGTAGTGGAATGGAGATAACATGTTTTGAAGTCAAACAAATGGATTAGAGACCCAAGTCCATCTTTACTTGTGTGACTTTCGGGAAGATACTTGACTTCCTAAAATTGAGTTTATAGATCTATAAAATAAAGACAGTGATATTAATACCAGTCTCACAGGTTATAGGAAATATTAAAAGAAAGAATCCATACAAAGAACAGCACAGCATAGAAACTCATCGAGAATTACACGAATGTTAGCCATTATTTAAACTGTACTAGCAAAATTCACTAAATGTTCAACTAATTGTTAAATCCAATGGAATGCTTTCAGACCTAGTCTCTACAGCTTCCTTTTGCTATCTGATGTTATTGAACATCTTAAACTTCCCTAAGCCTTGACCACCATAACACCACTTTATCCTGATTCTCATTCTACACCCTGACTATTCTTTCTTGGTATGCTGCATTGATACTTCTACCTCTACTTCCTCTTGTTTCCTTGGACTACTTCCATTATCATTCTAGACCTCCCTTCTGGTCATTCACAGGGCCTCAGTTGCCATCTATATGTGAATGACTCTCAAACCTCACTTTCACCAGCCAGTTTCTCTGTGAGCTCTAGATGTATACACGCATTCAACTGTCTGCAGGACTTCGCCTCCGTGTTCCATGGGTACTTCAGGGTCAATATTGAGAAAACCTTTTCTCTTCCTTGGGTTGCCTGTCTCATATTCTATTACCAAGATGCACCATGTTTCACAATTTAAAAAATTGGAAATATCTTAGGTTACTTGCCTAGCAGATAGAGGACAAGTACCCAGATCTCTTGCCTCCAAACCCAGGACTCTGACTCAGTGCACCATATTCAGCAGTGTACAACATGTGCTTTCAACTAATAATAGCTTAATATTATTATCCTGTGATGGTGAATTTATGTGTCAATTTGGCTAGCACATAGTACCCAGTTTTTGGTCAAATGTTAATCTAGATGTTTCTGTGAAGGTATTTTATTTTTAGATGTGATTAACATTTAAATCAGTAGACTTTGAGTAGATTACTCTCCACAGTGTAGGTGGGCCTCATCCAATAAGTTGAAGGGCTTAAGAGAAAGAGATGAGGTTCCCCAAGAAAGAAGGAATTCGCCTCTAGACTGTCTGCAGGCTGAAGCTGCAATAGCAACTCTTCCCCAGGTGTCCAGCCTGCTGGTCGGCCCTGTAGATTTCAGACTTGCCATCCCCACAATCACATAAGCCAATTCCTCAAATCAATCAATCAACTAATCAATGAAACTTTTTCTCTCTCTTCCTGTCTCCTATTGTTCTGTGTCTCTTCGGAATCATATTGGGTCTGTTTCTCTAGGGAAACATAGTCAATTGGTTTTGTTTCTCTGGGGAACCCTAATACATATCCTATACGTGTGTATTCTATCATTAGAAACATATCATTAGCACTCCACGCACATAACTTTCCTTTTGCATATCTGTATTATTTAATTTTGCATAAATAAACATCTCGTACACAATTGGTTGTCTACTTAGAGAAATAGTGTCTGGAAATACGCTAAATCTTGTGTACAGTAGGTTCTTAGTCTTTAGAAGAAAAGGTATCTTTCAGCTTTTCTCTCCCACTCACTTCTCTTCATCAGCCTCCTAATGCACTAACCCTGCCAGCCTCCTACCCAACCCATCAACTAATGTCAGCTACATCACTCACCCTAGTGTTTGACAAAGATTTGCAAGCCGCGTATTTTAGGCTCCTTGGATAGAAAAACAAACTCAATTGCTATCTTGAGATCCAGGTGGCAGAAAAAAATTCAAAGGTAATAAATCACAATTTTGTATCTTTTTTCCCTCTCATACTTCTACTTGATTATTATGTCCT
This sequence comes from Homo sapiens, assembly GCF_000001405.40. NCBI lineage: Eukaryota > Metazoa > Chordata > Mammalia > Primates > Hominidae > Homo > Homo sapiens. Next base: position 34,182,742 of record NC_000008.11, on the reverse strand, counting down.
AAATTGATTAATTTACCATGTATCATTGCTCTCAAGTGATAACTTAAGGACTGCAAGAGCTTAGCACGTCACCAGCAATTTGGCTTCTTAGAAACAAGGGACAAAAACCTGACTTGAGAAGAAATCTCTAAGGGATTAATTAACTCAGCAAAGGCATTTATAGCACTGGGTAAAGACTGGATGGTGAAATGAAGGTTGAGTTCATTCCCTATGTGCCACTGGCCAAAATATCTAGTTAATCTAGGATATTAGATAAATACTTCAGTATATAAAAAAGAAGGCAAAGATGTTGTATTTGTTGTTGTTGTTTTACCCTGAAAAAAAAAATGATATCTCTCCTTTCTTTCTCTACCTGGAAAAGGTAATAGTTAAGAAGTGCCTGGCAAAGACCACAGTAGGATTCATGTTAAGCTTGGGGCTTTAAGATGATGTTCAAGGATTCTACTCACACTTGCTGAACTGCCAGAAATTTTAATGAATACAAATGTTTTGGAATTCTAGTTTCTGGTTTAAATGGATTACAGTATTTACCTAAGTTAGCCAGGCGTCTGTCTCGAACAAGGCTCTACAACTATTTACTCAAGTAATCGATCTCAGGAGCTTTAACTTCTCCACAGATTCCATCCCCTGCTCCTTTGAATGTCCAGGCTGCTGGAATTGATATACAGAGGGGAACAGGAGAAATTTTTCATACGAAAAGGTAAATAATATATTATCACTCATGTCTAGGGAGAGGAATATAAATTGGGTCCCCAAAAAGGCCAATTCTTTCCTGCTTCTCTATTGGTTTTTGTTTTTTTTTTTTTTAAGAGAATGCCTTTACTCATTATTTGATAAATGGTAAAATATTTTATTTTACCTCCTACCAATATCCCTCCTTTTTTTTATTTTGACAATCTATAAGATATCACAAATTTTTAAAGAGTAACATAAAATCTTTACACTTCTGAAATATTGAATGATTTAGTAAAATATATGTTTCCATAGTGCACACGCTGGCCATGGAGACTCATAATGTTAGATTAAAAAGTTCACTTATTTTTACAGGATAAATATCAATTAACTTTAAAAAAAATAATATGCACATATCTTTGTAAATAATGCATATCCTGAGAGGAAGAGGATGCATGAGGTTTCTTTAAAAATCGACTCTGGGTGTAGTATGTTCTATAGCCAGAGGAATGGATGAAATAATCTTTTAATCTACCTTTATCATGCTAGAATTTTAAAACAAAGGAAAATATATTCTGATGACAGAAATGACTTTTTTTTTAGTATAATGCTCACCAAAGGGAAGAAAGACATGTTCCAACGCTTTTTTTTTCTTTTGTCTGTTACTACTTTATATTTCCCTCTCCAACAAAATACTATCTCTGTGGATGACAGGTCTTCAATATCTTGCTCTTACCTATCTTTTCTTTCCATAAGTTATTGGGGTACAGGTTGTATTTGGTTACATGAATTCTTTAGTGGTGATTTGTGAGATTTTGGTGCACCCATCACCCGAGCAGTATACACTGCACCCTATTTGTAGTGCTTTATCCCTCACCCCCCTTCACTCTTCCCCCCAAGTCCCCAAAGTCCATTGTATAATTTTTAAGACTGCATCCTTGTAGCTTAACTCCCACATATCAGTGAGAACATACGACGTTTGGTTTTCCATTCTTGAGTTACTTCACTTAGAATAATAGTCTCCAAGCACATCCAGGTCACTGCAAATGGTGTTAACTCATTCCTTTTTATGGCTGTGTGGTATTCCATCATGTATATATACCAGTTTCTTTATCCACTCATTGACTGATGGGCATTTGGGTTGGTTCCATGATTTCGCAATTGTGAATTGTGCTGCTACAAACATGTATGTGCAAGTATCTTTTTCTAAGAATGACTTCTTTTCCTCTGGGTAGATACCCAGTAGTGGGATCAAATGGTAGTTCTTCTTTTAGTTATTTAAGGAATCTCTATGCTGTTTTCCATAGTGGCTGTACTAGTATACATTCCCACCAGCAGTGTAGAAGTGTTCCCTGTTCATTGCATCCACGCCAACATCTACTGTTTTTTGATTTTTTTTATTATGGCCATTCTTGCATGAGTGAGGTGGTATCCCATTGTGGCTTTGACTTGCATTTCCCTGATCATTAGTGATGGTGAGCCATTTTTCATGTTTGTTGGCCATTTGTATATCTTCTTTTGAGAATTGTCTATTCATGTCCTTAGCCCACTTTTGGAAGGGATTGTTTTTTTCTTACTGTTTGAGTTCATTGCAGATTCTGAATATTAGTCCTTTGTCAGATGTATAGATTGTGAAGATTTTCTCCCCCCTTTGTGGGTTGTCTGTTTACCCTGCTAACTGTTCCTTTTGCTGTGCAAAAGCTCTTTAGTTTACTTAGGTCCCAGCTACTTATCTTTGTTTTTATTGCATTTGCTTTTGGGTTCTTGGTCATGAAAGCCTTGCCTAAGCCAATGTCTAGAAGGGTATTTCCAATGTTGTCTTCTAGAATTTTTATATTCAGGTCTTAGATTTAAGTCCTTAATCCATCCTGAGCTGATTTTTCTATAAGGTGAGAGATGAGGATCCAGTTTCATTCTCCTACATGTGGCTCGCCAATTATCCTAGCACTATTTGTTGAAAAGAGTGTCCTTTCCCCACTTTATGTTTTTGTTTGCTTTGTCAAAGATCAGTTGACTGTAAGTATTTGGGTTTATTTCTGTGTTCTCTATTCATTCCATTGGTCTATGCACCTCTTTTTGTACCAGTACAATGCTGTTTTGCTGACTATGGGCTTATAGTGTAGTTTGAAATCGGGTAGTGCGATGCCTCCAGATTTATTCTTTTTGCTTAATCTTGCTTTGGCTATGCGGGTTCTCTTTTGATGTTATATGAATTTTAGAATTGTTTTTTCTAATTCTGTGAAAAATGATGGTGATATTTTGATGGGGATTGCAGTGAATTTGTAGATTGCTTTTTGCTGCATGGTCATTTTCACAATATTGATTCTACCCATCCATGAGCATGGGATGTGTTTCCATTTGTTCATGTCATCTATGATTTCTTTCAGCAGTGTTTTGTAGTTTCCCTTGTAGAGGTCTTTTGACTCCTCGGTTTATTGCTAAGTATTTTATTTTATTTTTTGCAGCTATTGTAAAAGGGGTTGGGTTCTTGATTTGATTCTCTGCTTGTTTGCTGCTGGTGTATAGAAGAGCTACTGATTTGTGCACATTAATCTTTTATCTGGAAACCTTGCTGAACACTTTTATCAGTTCTAGGATATTTCTGGAGGAATCCTTATGGTTTTCAAAGCAAATGATCATATTGTGAGCAAACAGTGACAGTTTGACTTCCTTTTTGCTGATTTGGACGCCCTTTATTTCTTTCTCTTCTCTGATTGCTCTGGCTAGGACTCCCCAGTATTATGTTGAAGAGGAGTGGTGAGAGTGGGCATCCTTGTCTCATTCCAGTTCTCAGAGGAAATACTTTCAATTTTTCCCCATTCGGTATTATGTTGGCTGTAGGATTGTCATAGATGGCTTTTATTACATTAAGCTATGTCCCTTGTATGCCGATTTTCCTGAGAGTTTTAATCATAAAGGGATTCTGAATTTTGTTTCATGCTTTTTCTGCATCTATTGAAATGATCATGTGATTTTTTAAAAATTCTGTTTATGTGATGTAACACATTTACTGACTTGCATATATTAAATAATCCCTGCATCCCTGGTATGAAATCCACTTGATCATGGTGGATAATCTTTTTGATATGTTGTCAAATTCTGTTAGCTAGTATTTTGTTAAGGATTTTAGCATCTATGTTCATCAAGAATATCGGTATGTGGTTTTCTTTTTTGGTTATGTCCTTCCCTGGTTTTGGTATTCGGGTGATGCTGGCTTCATAGAATGAATTAGGAAGGGTCCCCTCTTTCTCTATCTTGTGGAATAGTGTCAAAAGTATTGGTACCAATTCTTCTTTGAATGTCTGGTAGAATTCTTCTATGAATTCATCTGATCCTGGCCTTTTTTTCCTGGTTATTTTTTAATTACCATTTCATTCTTGATGCTTGTTATTGGTCTGTTCAGGGTATCTAATTCTTCCTGATTTAAGCTAGGAGGGTTGTATTTTTCCAGGAATTTGTCCATCTCTTCTAGATTTTCTAGTTTATGTGTGTAAAGGTGATCATAGTAGCCTGGAATGATCTTTGTATTTCAGTGATGTCAGTTGCAATATCTCCTGTTTCGTTTCTTAGTGAGGTTATTTGGATTTTCTCTCTTCTTTTCTTGGTTAATCTTGCCAAAGGTCTATCAATTTTATTTAACTTTTTGAAGAACCAGCTTTTTGTTTCATTTATTTTTTGTAATTTTTTTTGTTTCAATCTTATTTAGTTCTGCTCTGATCTTGGTTATTTCCTTTCTTCTGCTGGGTTTGGGTTTGGTTTGCTCTTGTTTCTCTAGTTTCTTGAGGTGTGATCTTAGAGTGTCAGTTTGTGCACTTTCAGTCTTTTTTGATGTGGGGGTTTAGGGCTATGAATGTTCCTCTTAGTACCACCTTTGCTGTATCCCAGAGGTTTTGAAAAGTTGTGTCATTATTGTCATTCAGTTTGAATAATTTTTAAATTTTCATCTTGATTTTGTTTTTGACCCAATGCTCATTCAGGAGCAGGTTATTTAATTTCCATGTATTTACAGAGTTTTGAAGGTTCCTTTTGGAGTTGAGTTTCAGTTTTATTCTACTGTGGTCTGATAGAGTACTCGATATAATTTCAATTTTCTTAAATTTATTGAGGTTCGTTTCATGGTCTATCATATGGTCTATTTTGGAGAAAGTTCCATGTGCTCTTGGATAGAATGTGTATTCTGTGGTTGTTGGATGAAATGTTCTATATATATAAATATAAATCCATTTGTTACAAGGTATAGTTTAAATCCATTGTTTCTTTGTTGACTTCCTATCTTGATGACCTAATGCTGTCAGTGGAGTATTGAAGTCCCCCATTATTATCATGTTGCTGTCTATCTCATTTCTTAAGTCTATTAGTAATTGTTTTACAAATTTGGGAGCTCCAGTGATAGGTGCATATATATTTAGGATTGTGATATTTTCCTGTTGGACAAAGCCTTTTACCATTACATAATGTCCTTCTTTGTCTCTTTTAACTGCTGTTGCTTTAAAGTTTGTTTTGTCTGATGTAAGAATAGCTACCTCTGCTCACTTTTGGTGTCCATTTGCATGAAATGCCTTTTTCCACCCCTTTACTTTAAGTTTATGTGAGTGCTTATGTGCTAGGTGAGTCTTCTAAAGGCAGCAGATAGATGGTTGGTGAGTTCTTATCCATTCTGCAGTCCTGTATCTTTTAAGTGGAGCATTTAGACCATTTACATTGAATGTTAGTATTGAGATGTGAGGTGCCTTTGCATTCATTGTGCTATTTATTGACTGTGTATTTTGGGTTTTGTTTTTTTGTTTTCGCTTTTTACATTGTATTTTTGTTTTATAGGTCCTGTGTGATTTGTGCTTTAAAGAGGTTCTATTTTGATGTGTTTCCAGGATTTGTTTCAAGATTTAGAGCTCCTTTTAGCAGTCCTTGTAGTGGTGGCTTGGTAATGGTGAATTCTTTCAGCATTTGTTTGTCTGAAAAAGACTGTATTTTTCCTTCATATGTGATGCTTAGTTTCACTGGATACAAAAGTCTTGGCTGATGATTGTTTTATTTGAGAAGGCTGAAGATAGGGCCCCAGTCTCTTCTAGCTTGTAGGGTTTCTGCCGAGAAATCTGCTGTTAACCTGTTAGGTTTTCCTTTATAGGTTACCTGGTGCTTTTGTCTCACAGCTCTTAAGATTCTTTCCATTGACTTAATTTTGGATAACCTGATGACAATATGCCTAGGCAATTATCTTTTTTGCAATGAATTTCCCAGGTGTTCTTTGTGCTTCTTGTATTTGGATGTCTAGGTCTCTAGTGAGGCTGCAGAAATTCTCCTCAATTATTCTCCCAAATTTGTTTTCTAATGTTTTAGAATTCTCTTCTTACTCAGGAACACCAATTATTCTTAGGTTTGGTCATTTAACATAATCCCAGAAATCTTGGAGGCTTTGTTCATATTTTATTCTTTTTTGTCTTTGTTAGATTGGGTTAATTTGAAGACCTTGTCTTCGAGCTCTGAATTTCTTTCATCTACTTGTTCAATTCTAGTGCTGAGACTTTCCAGAGCATTTTGCATTTCTAAAACTGTGTCCAAAGTTTCCTGAATTTTTATTGTTTTTTCTTTAAGCCATCCATTTTCTTGAATATTTCTTCCTTCACTTCTTGTATCACTTTTTGGATTTCCTTGCATGGGGCTTTGCCTTTCTCTGGCCCTTCCCTGATTAGCTTAATAACTAACCTCCTGAATTCTTTTTCATGTAAATCAGGAATTTCTTCTTGGTTTGGATCCATTGCTGGTGAATTAGTGTGACTTTTTGGGAGTATTGATGAGCCTTGTTTTTTCATATTACCAGGGCTGGTTTTCTGTTTCCTTCTCATTTGGGTAGGCTCTGTCAGAGGGAAGGTCTAGGGCTGAAGGCTGTTGTTCAGATTCTTTTGTCCCATGGGGTATTCCCTTGATGTAGTACTCTCCCCCTTTCCCTGTGGATGTGGCCTCCTGTGGCCAAACTGCAGTGATTGTTATCTCACTTCTAGGTCTAGCCACCCAGCGAGTCTACCCAGCTTTGGGCTGATACTGAGGGTTGTCTGCACAGAGTCCTGTGATGTGAACTGTCTATGGGTCTCAGCCATGGATACCAGTGCCTGTTCCAGTGGAGGTGGTGGGGTGGGTACAATGGACTCTGTGAAGGTTCCTAGCTTTGGTGGTTTAATGCTCTGTTTTTGTGCCGGTTGGCCTCCTGCCAGGAGGTGGCACTTTCCAGAGAGCATGAGCTGTGGTACTATGGGGAGGAATAAGTGGTGGGTGGGGCCTAGGACTCCCAAGATTATATGCCATTTGTCTTCCACTACCAGGATGAGTAGGGAAGGACCCTCAGGTGGGGGAGGGGCTAGGTGTGTCTGAGCTCAGACTCTACTTGGGTGGGACTTGCTGCGGCTGCTGTTGGGGTTGGGGGTGATAGTCTCAGGTCACTGGAGTTGTGTACCTAGGAGGATTATGGCTTCCTCTGCTGAGTCATGCTGGTTGTCAGGGAAGTAGGGGAAAGCCAGAAGTCACAGGTCTCACCCAGCTCCCACGGAAACCGAAGGGCCGGTCTCGCTCCCACCATGACCCCTACAAAAGCCCCCAGCCCATTTCCAGGTGGAGAATGATAGGGGCTTGAAAATCTGCCCCAGGATACCCACCTCACCTCCCAGCTGCAAAAGAAAAGGGCTTAGTTCTTCCCCCAGCTGTGCAGTCTGCACGCAGGCTTGGCAGCCTTCCCCAAGCTCTGGCCAGCAGGCTTCTCACCCTGTTCAAACTGTTACAAAGTTCAGCTAGAGATTTCCTTCTCCCTTTGGAGTTTTACTCCCTGCTCCTCTCCTGATAGATCCCTGTGGTGCCAGGCTGGAATGGTCTGCTTGGGGACCTAGCCAGCTCCCACGGCCTTTCTGCTGCTTCCTCTACCCCCGTATTTTGCTCAGCTCTCGAAATTGACTCAGCAGGTAAAGTCGGAAACTTCTCCTGCTAAGAGACCTTCAGGTTCTCCACAGTGGGGGGGTGCGTTTGGGAGAGGAGGGTCTCCTTTTCCTACTTCTGCAGTTGGGGTACTCACAATATTTGGGGTGTCTCCCAGGTCCTGCAGGAGCAGTCCACTTCCTTTAGAGGGTCTGTGGGTCCTCTCGGGATTGCTGGTTTGTTCTTGCAGTCGAGCTGGAGCTGCAATTCACAATATGAGTCCCTGCCAGCTGCTCTGTCCGGAGCTGCAATCTAGTCTTGGTAATAACCACTTTTGATGATGGCTGCAGTGGTGAGACCCTAGAAATGAGACATGTTCCAACGTTGTTGCAATAAAATTAACATGTTTTGCTCTAACTTTAAAATCCTCATCTTTTATTAAAATTATGATTCAATTATTCATTAATTATAATATGCTTAACATTTCAATAATTAACTAGCGTTAACAGTAAGAGAAAATTTTTAATTTATTTTCACCCTTTAAAATATTTCATTGTTCTTGCCATTTTCATCTACTTCCTAATGTCCCAGGGACTACAAAACATCAGAAATTATTTGAGTTTCAAGGTAAAGATTCCCTCTTCTTTCTTTTAGCTAGTCCCTGAAGAACAATAAGAATTGTGTTTCTATTCATTCTCTCTGTCTCTGTCTCTCTTTGTTTTTCTCTCACTCTTTCTTTCTCCATCTCTCTTTCTCTCCAAAGAGTATTTAGGGCTTGGGAAGATTCAACACATTAAATATATTAAATAATATGAAAATACCCAACACTAGTTAAAAAAAAAAAACGCATGTACATTTCCCTAACAGCTTTGATATGCATAAATAGCAAATTCATACATACAGAGACATACTGAAACAGTTTATGTCATCAAGTAATGCTACCTCAACAACTGGAAAAAGTTCTCTGAGCTGCTAAAAAGCTACTTTTAATAATATAAGAAGTCTCTTCTGTATTTCTGTAGCTCTCCCGGCCTTCAAGTGGAGCTCGCCATGGTAAATATGATTCCAAAGCTCAATCATTAATTCTATTTAGGCTTAATGTGTCATAAAGCTAAGGAAAGCAGGGCCATTTTTCTCTCTGCTGAGGCACAAGAAGTGTATTAACTATTCCAGCCAGTACTATAGATGATTTATTAATACAATTTTGGAAAGTGAGACTGTCAGATCATATAAGCACATATTATAAACAGATGATCTCTCTGAAAAGTTATCTTAGTCTTTCTCCTATTCCTTGTCTTAGCTAAATGACTGACAATGTACTTCACTGCTAAGATTCTTCTCTCTGTCTCTCTCTCTCTCTCTCTTTCCCTCTCCTTCTCCCTCTCTCTCTCTCTCTCCCTCTCTTTCCCTCTCCTTCTCCCTCTCTCTCTCTCTCTCCCTCCCACCCCTAAAAACACATTACTCAAATAAGCCAGGGATGGTCAACAACATTCTCTCACATTTGAGGCACTGGAACTGACTCTGAATATAAATTTGAAGCACCTGGAATAAAAGGGAGATGCTTTTCCAAACACAGACCTAAAAATTACTGAGCCAACTGTGATATGGGGAAAAGAACATTGGTGTGGGAACCCAGTGAGCCAGATTCTAGATCAGGGTGCTCTGCAAAGCACAAATGACCTTAGGCAATTCACTTCACCTGTGTCCTTATCTTTAAAGAGTGGTTGGGGGGAGGGCTAAGTGATCTCTAGGTTCTTTCCAACTCTAACCTTCTGTAAACTTATGTTGTAACAGGAATGAAACAGGATGAAATAACGCTAGCCTAGGCTCAACTCAACAGCATAGTCTTCTCGATGTAAATTACATGGTACCTGAGAACATCGCGATAGTCAGTTTCTTCTGAATGATACATCATGAGGCAAATTTATATTTGTATTACCTAACCTTAAAATCCAGATACTGGGGCAATATCGGAAGGAGTGTGTGTGTGTGTGTGCGCGTGTGCACGTGTGTGTATGTGTGTAACCTCCCAGCAAAAATGTTTGCCCAGGGCTCTGTAGTGTTCTGAAATCATTTTTAGTGTTGCTAGTGTTTTAGAATTCTGAATCCATTTGTATTACCCTTTAAGACCTCCAATCCTTTCTTCAATTCCTTTTTACATACAGAGGATCTGGGTGTTACTCCCACTGGAATTCTGGGAATTAAAATATACAGACAATTTTAATCACGTGATGGTGATTCATTTCCTAAGATATTTCACATGTAATAAATATGAGTGAAATCAAAGGATAATTTTCAAGATCAGAGAGCTGTTTGTAATTGTGCATCATGCCAAAAGTACACTCACCTGTTTCCTCACCAAATTATGCTCAATGAGAAATGTTTATTCTTTGTTCCTGACTAGAACTTTTTGTAGGGAATATGCCCATTTATATCTCAGGCAAAAATCTCAGGTGTAAAGCAGTTAAAGTGAAAGTCAGGCAAGGAGTGGTGAAAAGGAAATGGCAGAACCAAACTTGATTTTATAAAAGTAGAAAAAGAGCACAAATTGTTTAACGTATTTTTAAAAGTTATTTATTTTTAGCAAAAGCTGTAATGCTGCTTTATGTGCAAGAGATATTTCAGTTATCAAATTATGTTCTGTGATACCACCTGGGGCACTCTTTATAGGTATCCTCAGAACTAGGTACATGTTATATTATGTCCCAAATGTTCAAAATCAAACAAGATAGTCATTTTCAATATGTCTAGGACCTACTTCAATTATAACACAAGAACTACATTCAAATTTAGTTTTCCAAATTCAAATGCAAGTTTATGACTTTATTTTGTTCTTTTAAAAAAAAGGCTATATTTGTTTATTTTTGATGTTTGCACATCCATGCTTATTGCAGCATTATTCACAATAACCAAGAGATGGAAGCAATACAAATGTCTATCAACAGATGAACAGACCAAGAAAATGTGATACACTCACACGACGGGACACCATTCTGTCTTAAAAAGGTAGGAGATCCTGTCCTACGCTGCAACATGGATGAACCTTGAGGACGCTAGACCAAGTGAATTAAGCCAATCGCAAAAAGACAAATACTGGGCTGGGCACAGTGGCTCACGCCATGTAATCCCAGTACTTTGGGAGGCTGAGGCAGGCAGATCACCTGAGGTCGTGTGTTTGAGACCAGCCTGGCCAACATGGTGAAACCCCATCTCTACTAAAAATACAAAAATGAGCCAGGCATGGTGGCACACACCTGTAATACCAGCTACTCAGGAGGCTGAGGCAGGAGAATTTCTTAAACCCGGGAGGCGGAGGTTGCAGTGAACTGAGATCGTGCCACTGCACTCCAGCCTGGCCTGGGCGATAGAGACTCTGTCTAGAAACACAAAAACAAAACAAAACAAAACAACAACAACAACAAAAACAAGTAAAAAGGCAAATACTGTATGATTACACCTATACCAGGTATCTAAAATAGTCAGACTCAGTAACAGTAACAGTAATAGAATGTGGTCACCAGGGGATGGGGGAAATGGGGACAATCAGTAGTTGTTGTTCAATGTCTATAGAGTTTCAGTTTTGCAAGGGGAAAAATTTCTGGAGATCTGTTGTGCAACAACGCACATATAGTTTAACACTCCTGTACTGTACACTTAAAATGATTAAGATGGTAATTTTATGACTTTTTAACACAATTTTTAAAATGTCATAGGAGGGAAACATTAGCACAGTAATATTAGCACAGTAATTATGAGCACAGGTTTCAGATTCTGACAAACATGGCTTAAGTCTGAATTCAGTCTCATACTAGCCATGAGGGCCGAGAAAGTTACCTAACCTCTCAGCTAGGTTTCCCATTTGGCAAAATGGAGATAAGAACTGTTTCTATCTCATGTAATTATTATAACATGTTATGTAAGTGTGAAACACGAAGCTCATGGCTAGGCACTTGGTTAGCACTCAATCAACAGTAGTTATAATGTGATGAGTAGGCCGGGAAGGTGAAGTATAGCTGAAGGATTGGGGATGAAGTCTGATAGCTTCCTGAAAGCTTAAGGGATTGTGGGCATGACGAGTATTTGAAAACTAGTTATATTTACATTATTGTTAAGCCTAGACCTTGGAGTGAACACCTTAACCTAATGTCAGGTAGAGAGCCAGCAGTGCTGCCCACATCCATCTATGTTTCACTATTCAAGGTTAAAGGCTATATTTAAATTACTTATTACATTCATGCCTGGTGTGGAATGAATTATAAACTTCCTGAAATTAAAATGTTAAAGTCCTAAACACCAGTACCTGTGAATATGACTTTATTTGGAAATAGAGCCTTTGCAGATGATATAGTTAAAAAGAGGTTAGAATGGCTGCCGGTCCAACATGACCGAGCTCTTATAATAGGAGAAATGTGGACAGAGAGACAGACAGACCCATAGGAAGAATGCCACATGAGGATGAAAGCAGAGATAGGCAATAGATCGATAGCCAAAGAATGATAAAGAGTGCCAGCAAACCATAAGAAGCTAGGGGAGAGGCACGGAACAGATTTTTCTCACCACCCTCAAAATGAACCTGTCAACGCATTCATCTTGGACTTCCAGCCCCTAGAACTGTGATCCAATAAATTATTGTTGTGTAAGTCACTCGTTATATTTGTGCTGTTGTGGTACTTTGTCATGGCAGCCCTAGGAAACAAAAACAATGCCTGCAGTTATTGTTTGCATGGTTTTTTTTGTTGTTGTTGTTTACTCAAACATGAGAATGTGTCAAATGCTCAAAACAAAGCACAGAGCTGAGGGAGACTGATTTCACTAATTGGCTGAGCTTCAGTTGAAATGGAGGGATGTTCACTCTGTTGTCTGCGACTTTTGCTGTTGTCCCTGTTGCTTTGGGTTCAGCCTATTAATTTGAGATGATAGCATTGTGTCCTTGGGCTTTAACAAAGAAATCTGAATAACTGCCAATTAGACAATAAATAGATACCCCTCCCTGCCCATTTGCTATTCCCTCTTTCTCCCCTTCTCCCATTCTCTCTCCCTTTTGCAGTTTACCTTTCAAATTTCTTTCTACATCAACAAGATTTTGGCAATGTGCTTCAGGAGAACTCAGCCCCAGTGTCTCCAAGGCAGCTGGTCAGTTTCTCAGACAGGCCGCCATTCTTTCCAAGGCCTCACGTGAAGAATACAAAATGGGGTTATCAGAGGGGGCAGGAGGGGTGATGAAACTGATTCCAACTCTTAAGTCTTCTGAAATATGGAGGATGGGCTTCCCGAACCCCTCATATCTTTCTTCCTGTTTCATAGAGTATAAGATGACAAGCCCCCAGGTCACCCATATTGTGCTCTCTGTCATTTCCTCAGAGGCCTGATGGATGATTCTGTAGTAAGACCACTGCAGAGACTTCTCTAATCCCAAGGCAGAAAGTAAATAATTAAATGCATGTTTCTATCATTCTTCTTTATTTATATGAGGTTGTGAATAGTGAATTAATAGCTCCAAAGATCCCACTCATAATGAAGTAAAACTGGATAACAATTGATTTGTATCTACTGCTATTGTGCTTAAATCACTATGTTTCTCTATTTGCTTTTCAGTCTCAGACAGGAGTAGTCCAGGAAACATAAAAATAAAAAATTTTAAAATGAGAAGGATTTTTCCCCCCAGTGTCTTTGTTTACAGTACATTTTCACATTGATACATCATTGTGAACAGATTTTGATGGGTTTTCAGAGCCTCCTTCACAATCAGTCCTCTGTCCCCCCAAACAAAGAAAAATGTCACAAACCAATAATACAGTTCAATTCTCATCTAAACCTACTGGGTCAGCAAAATTGAACTGTAAATTTCCCTAAAACTACTTCTTCGGAGATTTCTAGTATTTCTGAATGGGCCAGAAATCAGTGAAAATGGCCTCTCTCTCACCATGTTTTGGCATTTGGACTATAAGAAAAAGAAAAAGACACAGATTTATTGGCACTTTTCCCACCATCCTTCATCAAGTGCACTTGGCTCAGCACCTGATCACATGGGGGCTCTGGGGCTCTGCCTTCACACTTGTGAACCAATAGCAAGCTAAGGGAACTGGGCTTTATTTTCCCCGAGTTCTTACAGCAACAGTGGACAGTGGAGGTAAATATTCCCTCCTAAGAATAGGTGGACAGGAGAGTTACTGTGTCTCTTCTAAGATTTTTCATCCCTTGAGAATCTTACTGGAATCACTTTCATGAAAAGAATAAGTGACCGTGGTTAAGTTGCTCATTGGTATTTACTCTCAAAAGTGCAGACTAGAGAGATGGAGTAGGAGGGAGAATGTTTTCATAGCACATCTATGGACTCCTTCCTCATCCGTACCATAAGGCATGTGGGAAAATGTTTTAGTGTGGGTCACTTGTCTGCAGAACTATGTTACTCTCTCCAAATCACTGTTTCAGCACCTTTCTGTTGGTGCTTTATCTGGAGAAAGAAATTAGGTACCTGCTGAGAGAATGATGGGTTGGGAGGCCACCCTCCAGGAAGTGACATGGGTGCCCAATTTCCAGGGCTTCTCCAAGCATCTAGTTGAGTCCACAGGTGGGTGGAGGATTGGAGAAAGAGCTTATGCTTACATACTTTGCCTGGAAGGCACTGCTGTACTAACAGTCGAAGCCTTGGCAGGGCGTCTTAGAAAATTACTAGAAATCTCTCCAAAAAGTGGGAGGGAGTGGGGGCCCACACATAGACTGGTATCTGGGCCTTGTTTGCCTGCACCTATAGGATACTCTTTTGGGCCAATCTATTAATGAAGTTTGATTCAAATGTGTGATGAGAGAATTTTACAAGTTGAGTTCAACTGATATTTAATTGCCATCATACAACAGTGAAAAAGAGAAAAAATCACTTTTATTTTATTAAAATACAATGTGAGTGTTGTTCAAATATTTAAGTGTCCATGCTTTTGTACACATGCATATGCTAGTCTATTGCTTGAGAAAATAACTACCTGCATAAATGTATATGATTGGGCAACTTGTAATATGTGTTTCACAAAGTAGAAATGAAATCACTGCATCATTTCAAATATTTGAACAACATATGTTGATGTGTAAAGTGTGGTAGAAAAATGGGCTATTTTTACAGAAGTCCAAAAATGTTGCAGTGATTATATGTGTTGCTAGTTTCCATTTATTTTATAATATTATATGGTAAGTTTTGGTCTTCACATAAACTTTTTTCCTTGTTCATTTTGAGGGAGAAAGAGCAAGTGCAAGGAATTCCCATTTTTAGCACCATGACTAACTAATTCAAAGCAGCTTAAAATGCTGGAAAATATATAAGACATCTTTTTAAATACATATTTGACGAATAAGGCCTAAAGGAAAGAAAGCATATCTCAGAAGTCAAATAAAGATATTAAAAACCACATTATAAAGAGGAACTTGATAATTTTGCTGGAATAGGGGTGAAAGCAAAGCAAACTCAGGAACAAAGGGACTTGGGTTTTAGTCGCCAATCCTGTCAAGAGAAAAGGTCTTGAGACTGGTCAAAGTAAAGTAAGAACCAAAAATCCTCCCTACAAAGCCAAGACTGAAGAGCTATATTCTCAAGGAAAAGGTGAACTATATATTTTTTAAAAACATACCAGCACAAGAAATTATAAACAAGATTGCCTGTCTTTACCTGGACTTTGGGTGCAAAAACAATGACCACAAACTCCTCCGAGTAACCACAGGTCTGCCCTCACATGAGTGTAAGGTTTGTTTGAACAACTGTCATAGCTTCTTCCAAACCATAGTGTCCCTCTCCAACATAAAAGCCTCTCAAATTTGAATCTAAAATCATTACATTATTCCACATGCACTCATTTCTTTTTCAAGTCATATATACGTCCTTGGATTTTTTCAGGATTCCTTAAAGATTTTAGCTAGCAGCTTGTTTTCACTTTCTCTAACCCTGTCAACCCTGCCCCAATCATAATTCTTTATGACTTCAAATGAAACATAGATAATCTTCAGTGCAACTGCAGCAATATAATTCCTTGGTGTTCTGTCCTTCAATGATCTTTTTCTTTCACCCAAGCTCAGCTGCACCATCCTGTGTTCTTACCGTATGCCATCTTGGTGGTGAATGAATAAATGAGTAAACACTCCAGAATCAACACAAAGAATTTCAAATGTAACTTAGTTCATAGTTACACTAACTCAGTATCATTTAGATTAATCTATAAATTCAATGCAATTCAAAATAAATTTCCAATAAGGTTTGTCATGTAATTTGACCACCTATAAGCCAAGAATGGTCATGACGCTATCATGACATGAATCCTGGAAATTTTGAAAAACAACAAATCAGAAGATTAGGTTTAATCAAATATCAAATTATTATAAGACTAATAATTAAGACAATGTGGAATCAGCACAGTTATACACAAATAGACTAACGAAGAAGAATAGAGAACTTAGAACCAGACTCACATGTATAAGCAAGCTTGATATATGAAAAGGGTGACAATACAGATCAGTGAAAAAATTCAACAAAACATGCTGAGACATTTGCTTATCCACATATAAAATGGACTCCTTTATTATACAATGATTATTTATAAAACTCTAATTGTAAAATGCAAATTTGTACATGAAATATTAGAGAATATCTTAATATGCTGAGACTACAGAAGGAAATTGTCCCATTTCTTTTTCCTCTAAATTTCTCCACCTATTGCCAGCAAATTAGTTATCTTTGAGCACCACTGTTATTATCAAGCAAACTTTCTAGGTTCTTAGCTCCAGACTCCTCTGCCTTCTCCCCTCACTCATTTTCTACAAAGACCAGTTTATGTATATACTTTACAGCAGAGAAACCTGACAAACACTAACTCAGTCAGGTAATCAAGGGAACATCAACACTGACAGCTCATGTTGCTCATATGTACCCTTGATATGATGCACTGAAAATGGCACTTTACCTCTGTGACCTTCATCTCCAAAACACATAACCCCAGTCTAATCATTACAAAAATCATCAGACAAATCCTAATTGAGGGCCATTCAACAAAATACCTGACCAATACTCTATAAAATTATCAAGATTATTAAAAACAAGGAAAGTCTGAGAAACTGGTAAAGCCAAGAGGTCTCTAGGAGACATGACAACCGAATGTAATTTGGTACTCTGGATGGAATCCTGAAACAGAAGGGCAGAAGTTTAACCCGAAACAGAAAAAGGACAGAAGTTTAAAAGAAATAAAGTAGGGGCTTTAATCAATAATAATGTGTCAATATCGGATCATTAATTGTGACAAACATACCATATTAATGTAAGACATTAACAATATCAGAAACTGGTGAGGTATAAGGGAACTCTATTATAATCTTCACAATTTTTTCTGTAAATCTGAAACTATTCTAAAATGCAAGGTCTATTTAAAATAAACAAACAAACAAACAAACCCTCCAAGGTGATCATTGAATGTCTTGACAAAGGACCTGGAGAGAGGTCTCTGGGATCAGGTACAGCTCAAATGTCAAGCTCTCAGTGAGAATTTCCCTGATGATTTGATCTAACACAGTCTCCATAGTTACTGGTTGCCACCGTATCTCATTTTCTTCTCTTCTCAGAACTTAGCACTGCCTGAAAACCTTGTTTATTTACTTTTCTCATATATCCTGTCTTGTAAAGCAGAACGTAAGTTCCATAAAATGAGGTCACTTGTCTGATGGAGGTTTAATCCCGTAGTTTGAAGAGTGTCTGACACTTAGTAGCTATCCATTAGATATTAGTTGGATAAATGAACTCTAAAATCATTTGAAATATTAAATTACATGCCCACACAAGTTGAAACCAAACCACCAACCATTTCATCCTATGAGAGTTACCCTCTAGCAAGCACTTACCCATCCAGGAATATTGACTCCCAGCCACATATTTATTGTCATAGAACTTTAAACGTGGCCATGTCCTAAAATATCATGAAGTTTAGGATTCACATTTTGTAAATGGGATGTATAAATGAAAAATTGTGGACTTAAAAGTCTTTGACTTTAAATACATGAATACACTATAATTTAACTAATGACAAGACTTATGGAATTCAAAGTATGTTACTAACCATGAATTAAAGGGGAGAGAAAGGTGTTTATGCACTATTTATATTTCAGTGTCCACATCAGTATCATACACAAAGAATAGGGTGGGTCAAGTCCTACAAGATTAAACTACACAAACTCGCTAAGCTCAGTTATATGATTCCCTATATTTCCTGATAGTGGGAAGAAAACTTTATAAATAAAATAATTTAACCACTTAAATTTATAAACAGTTTTGTTATTGGAAATCGTGTTTGTGCACTTAAAGTATAAAATGTGTTCTATAAGAATTAAATTTTTTCATTTAAGCTTTGAAATGAATTCCCTAGCCTTGGGTTAATTTATTTCTACTCTACATACCAAATAGATTCTCTTGCTAGCAAAAAGAAGCAAGCAAGCAACAAACAAACAAAATGCAGACCACTAGGTCTGGTTCTCTCCTTGCAGATTTGCAAACTACAACAAATTCAAGTCCAGACATAACATTGACTCTTATTTTTCTTTTTTCAAAAGGAGAAAAATAATATCCTCAATATTTATTGAAGGCTATGAGCCAGCCACTGTTCTAAACACTTTATTGGTATTATTTAATTTACTCTTCACAGCTGCACTATGGAGTAGATTCTGTAAATTTCCTATTTAATAGGTAAGTAAATTAAGGCACAGAAAGTATAAGTAACTTGTTCCAAGTCACACATCTATTAAGTGGTAGAATGACTTCAGAACCAAACATTCTAATTCTAGAGAATAAGTGCTTAACCAGTATGTGAATAACTTCTTTGGGCCTAGTACTACTTCTGTGATGAGAAAGCTACATGAGACAAAAATAGTCTTGTTAAGGTTTAAATGTGACCTTCCTTGTTTTCCCTCCACAAGTAAGCATGTCTCTCATCAATATAACTCTGAATGTATATCAACTTGATGAACAAAAGATAGTAGTGTTATAAACATGGATGGAAATGAGTAATTTACTACTGACAAATTTCTGTTGATCAGTCAAGATATTTTAAAAGAGATGTCTTCTTCCTCCCATTCATCTTATGAAGTATCGCCATATTAATTGTCTTATGGCACAATTAATCAGATCATTACCCTATTCAAATGGTACAGCTCCCTCAACTTGTTGAAAGACTATTGAACAGAGTGCAGGCTTCTTAGCTTAGGATCCACTAATCATCTACTTGCAAATTATATTATAGGTAAACCAAACTGGTTGTCACTCTCCAAACCTGCTATATACTGAATACTAGTACACTAGTTTTATTTATTAGAGCACATAATATTATCTATTTTTAATGTTTCAACTTAAAATTTAGATAAAATGCTTTGGATGGTAGATCCCTTAGCAGATTTTTTTTTCTTTTTTTCATCTCATAAGTAATTCACGTTTGTAGTGGAAAAAATAGAAAATGTAAACAAAAAGTACAAAAAAAGAAAGGCATTATTAGGCCTATCACACAAAGGGAATTGCTGGGCACATGTTATTGTATATTTTACACTAGGCATGTATGGTGTATAAATGTGCAAAAACCATAATCACACTACAAATGTGGTTTGTAAACTATCTTTCTCGGATAACACATGAACGTCTCCCCATATTGATAAATACAGATTGACATTATAATGACTGAATATTTCTCCAATCCTTTTCCTAAACATTTAGGAGGCTCACAGTTTCTGACCATTATAAACAACACTGCTATGAACATCCTTGTACATATTTGTTCAAATATTTAAGAAATTTAAGAGAAATAATTTGATGTGGAATGCTGATTGAACATGTATGAACATTTTAACCATATTTGAAACATTGTTAAAACTCTTTGGAAGAACTGCACTAATTTAACACCCACTAACAGGTAAATTGCCCATTTGTTCCTCACTAACACTGAATATTAACTCTAAATGTAATATTTTGGTATTGAATGAAGAGTCTCTTCTGGCTATTTCAATTTTGTCGCAGTTGTTTAGCCAAGTTAATATCACAAGTGCCTCTAATTATGAAGGACAAGACCAACATCAGATCCTTCAGCAATCTTTATACTTAAATCCAGACTTTAATTAACCCTGCTAGAAAAGCCATTTGATTTTTTAAATCAAATAACAACAAAACCAAGCCATGAAGGCTAGCCTTACAGCCCATCTCATTTCAATGAGACCAGCATGGACTCTTTCCTTCCATGTTCTTACACTTCTGTGCTTCTGAGACTTCTTGTTTTACATGACTCTCATCCTTGGAACTTGCTCAGTTGGAGGGAGACCTATGATTAAAAGAAAACTTGGCCCCTCCACCTTGTTGGCTGTGTTCCTTTCCTGATGGTGTCTCTCTACCTACTTTAATGATCTACTCTTAGCAGGTGGGAGAGGGCAAAGCTAAGCCACGCCACTGTGGAATTCAGGGAGCAGGATCTGTCAATATAATTGGCACCCTATCTGTCAGCGGATCTCTTAGGAACTGACAAGTAAGAGACACATAATTACTGGGCACAATTTTCTCCTCGAAAGTAAGATAGGACTTAATAAACATAATATCCACAGGGTACATAGACAAAACCATTCTCCTAGTACATTTCTAAGTATTTTCCTTCCATCTGCCACTCATGCAGCATGTAATAAAGTGACCTCTCAAACAAGGATGAATGATTTATCATGTTCTTCAAGTTTCTGTAAGGTAGAGTTGCCTGTTATAACTATTTCTGAGTGGCAGTCTGAAGTCTAACTTTGGGGCCACTAACTGTGCTCTCAGACTTTGTCTCTTGTCCTTGTGTTTCAAGGCATTTTTGAACTCAACCTTACTCCTAAGCTTCCTAAAACTCTAAAAGGGAAAAAACAACAATAGAAAGTTCTGTGCAGGAAAGAAGTAGGCACCAACACATTTTAGCTATGTCCGTTATATTAAAATAAAAAAAAGTGTTGAAACAAGTAAAGCATTGGAAATTGAAATGCAAACAGGACTAAATGAATGAGATATGAAGCCAGATCTAAGGTCCACTTCCTAGCTACATCATTGTGGAAAAGTTACTTATCTTTACAATGCAATTTCTTCATTTGTGAAAAGAAATGATCACAGACAAACATTAAATAAGAAACTAGGTGGGGAAAAAATTAATCTCTTATAGTCTGTAGTCCTTTATTACAGATTATTTTTGACTTCTGATGGTTGGTTCTGTTCTTCTCTTTAATATTATTTTTTTCTGTAGATTATACATTCACATGGTACAAAATGAAAAAGGTACAAAAGGAAGAGTAGAATGTAAAAATGATCTCTCCCAATCCTAAACTCCAGACTCCCAATTTCTCCATTCTGGATCAACAAATTTTATCACTGTAGTTTACATTGTTACAGAGGTATTTCATGCATATGTAATTAACCCTGAATATATATGGATCTACATATATTTACTCTTTTTTATCTCATATTACGCAAATATTAGGGTACCAATGCACCTGTTTGCACTTTTTAAACAATTAATATGGGAGCCTTTCCATTTAAGACCATGAATAGCTTGCCTCATTCCTTTATATATTGTTGCATAGTGCTCCATTGTAGGATATTCTGATTTAATCATTCCCCATTAACGGATATTTAGATTGTTTCCAAAATTTTGCTGCTTCAGAAAAAATGCCCTGTATAATAAACACACACATATAAAATTTTACATAGGCAAAGCATATATTTAAGATAATTTCTCTCTTTTTTTTTATTTTTTGAGACCGAGTCTTACTCTGTCGCCTAGGCTGGAGTGCAGTGGCACAATCTCGGCTCACTGCAACCTCTGCCTTCCGGGTTCAAGCGATTCTCCTGCCTCAGCCTTCCAAGTAGCTGGGACTACAGGCATGCGCCACCACCCACGGCTAATTTTTTTTTTTTTTTTTTTTTTTTTTTTGAGACAGAGTCTCATTGTGACACCCAGGCTGGAGTTCAGTGGTGCGATCTTGGCTCACTGCAACCTCTGCCTCTCGGGTTCAAGTGATTCTCCTGCCTCAGCCTCCTGAGTAGCTGCAATTACAGGCACGCGCCATAATGCCTGGCTAAATTTTGTATTTTTAGTAGAGATGGGGTTTCACCATGTTGGTCAGGCTGATCTTGAACTCCTGACCTCAGGTGATCCAACCCCCCTCGGCCTCCCAAAGTGCTGGGATTACAGGGGTGAGCCACTGCGCCCGGCCAAGATAATTTCTTAGAGGTGGAATTGCCCACTCAAAGGACATTTTGTTATTTTCTATTTTAATAGCTGTTTTCAAATTGCCCCATTAAAGCAAACTAAATATGGCCTGAGAAGGACTCTGTACTTCTATATTGAGTCCTTGTGGACGAACTGCAACCTAACTTAATAGGTAGACATGATACAAGACCTAACTTAGCAGTGTGCGCCTGTAAAAATAGTTCAGTCTCGGCCAAGCCCAGCAGCCATACTTCAACCAGTCATAGGCTACTGAGTGCTCCAACTGTTCAAATAAGGCAAACGCTGAGCTGTAACCAATCCACTTATTTCTGTACCTCACTTCTGATTTCTGTACCTCACTTCCCTTTTCTTGTCTATAAATTTGTTCTGAACATGAGGTATTCCTGGAGTCTCCCTGAATTTGCTGTGATCCTGGGGGCTGCCCGATTCACAAATCGGTCATTGTTCAATTAAACTCCTTTAAATTTAATTCAGCTGAAGTTTTTCTTTTAACACCCTGCACTGCCACAAAGAGATTACAGCAATTTACATTCTTATCCAAAACGTCTGAGAGTGCCTGCTCCCTCAACCCTTGCCAACAGCAATATGCATGCCAAACCACTATGCAAAATTGGTATCTTTGTATAGTTTGGTTTGTATTTCTCTTATTATGAGTGAAGTTGAGCATCTTCTCATATATTTGAGCCATTTATATATTTTTTCTGTGAACCATCCTTTTATGTCTTTTGCTTATTGTTTTCCTACTAGGTTATTGGAATGTTTTTTTAAAAGAGCAATGTTAAAAATATCAGTCCTTCCAAGTATGTTCTCTTCATTTGTCATTTGTCTTTTGCATTTTTCCTATTATGGGTTTTACATGTAGATGATAGTGGTGCTGCTGCTGCTGATCTAGTTGAGGTCAGCAATCTTTTTCCTTATAGATTGGGGTTTTAGATTGGGGTTTTATTTTTCATATATAAATTTTTACATATATAGTTTATATGCATATTTATCTTACATATACAAAATATTCCTATATATTTACCTACATGCAATTCTTCCATGGTGCCTTCTAAAGACTTGATTTCAGTTTGTTACCTTAAATCTATGATCGATCTGTAAATTTTGTGGTATAAGTTGTGAGGTCGAGATCTTATTTTATTTCTCCAGATGGCTACTCAGCTTAGTACCATTAGCTGAATTCTCCAGGGGTCATTTGACTCCAGCGGTCATTTCTCATTCAGTATCAATACACATAGTTGTAATGTGGAAGTGTAAATGAAATACATGAAAAACACACAACGGTGTATTAAGCAATTGGCTGAGATTTTTGAACCCCAGGAAGTAGACCTGAATTTATCTGACTTGGTTGAATTTATTAAGTAGTTTTGTTTCTCTACATCCATTATCAGCCTCTTCCAATATACAGTCATTTTCTCCATGTCTGCAGGTTCTGCATGGCAGATTCAACCAACTGCAGATCTAAAATATCTGGGAAAAAATGATTAAAAAATAATTCAACATTAAAAACACAAATTCAAAATAATACAATATAACAATTATTTACATAGCATTTTAAATGGCATTAGGTATTAAGCAGTATAGGCCAGGCACAGTGGCTCATGCTTGTAATCCCAGCACTTTGGGAGGCCGAGACACATGGATCATTTGAGGGTAGGAGTTCAGGACCAGCCTGGCCAACATGGTGAAACCTTGTCTCTACTAAAAATACAAAAATTAGCTGAGTGTGGTGGTGCACCCCTGTGATCCCAGCTACTTGGGAGGTTGAGGCAAGAGAATCACTTGAGCCTGGGAGGTAGAGGTTGCAGTGAGCCAAGATTGCACCACTACACTCCAGTCTGGCCAACAGAGTGAGACTGTCAAAAAAAAAAAAAAAAAAAAAAAAAGAAGAAAAAAACCCGAAGGCAATCTAGAGATGATTTAAAATATATGGGAGGGTGTGCATACTTGCATACTTTTATATAAGGGACTTGAACATCCACAGATTTTGGTTTGGAAGGGGAGGTTCTGGAATAAATTCCCTGCTGATATGGAGGGATGACTGTATATATATTTTACACACATTGCCAAATTGATCTTTCTAAAACACAAATAGGATTATGTTTCTATTTAAAATTTGTCAACAGCTCCACAACACAAAGTCTAGATTCTTAATATAGTATTCTCCTTCTTATACAAATGTTCTAGACACTTGTTAGATTATCCCCCAATACTGCATTTTTCAGTTTAAATTTTATCAAACTGAACTATTTACCATATTGTTCCAGGAAGAATATATGCTCCATGAGAGAAAGGACAGAAGCCTCACCTCGCAGGTTTGTATATACGTTAGTCCATTTTCATGCTGCTGATAAAGACATACCTGAGACTAGGCAATTTACAAAAGAAATAGGTTTATTGGACTTACGGTTCCACGTGGCTGGAGCAGCCTCACAATCATGGTAGAAGGTAAGGGGGAGCAAGTCACATCTTATGTGGATGGCAGCAGGCAGAAAAAGAGAGCTTGGACAGGCAACTCCTGTTTTTAAAACCATTAGAGCTCGTGAGACCCATTCACTGTCACGAGAACAGCAAAGGAAAGACCTACCCCCAAAATTCAGTCATCTCCTACTGGGTCCCTCTCACAATACCTGGTAATTATGGGAGCTACAGGGTGAGATTTGGGTGGGGACACAGCACAAAACCATATCATTCAGCCTCTGGCCCCTCCCATATCTCATATCTTCACATTTCAAAACCAATCATGCCTTCCCAACAGTCCCCCAAAGTTTCGACTCATTTCAGCATTAACTCAGAAGTCCATAGTCTAAAGTCTCATCTGAGACAAGGCAAGTCCCTCCTGCCCATGAGCCTGTAAAATCAAAAGCAAGTTAGTTACTTCCTAGACACAATGAGAGTACAGGCATTGGGTAAATACAGCCATTTGATATGGGAGAAACTGGCCAAAGCAGAGGGGCTACAGGCCCCATTTAAGTCCAAAAGCCAGCAGGGCAGTCAAATTTTACAGATACAAAATGATCTTCTTTGACTCCATGTCTCACATCCAGGTCATGCTGATACAACAGGTAGGTCCCCGTAGTCTTGGGCAGATCCATCCCTGTGGCTTTGCAGGGTACAGCCTCCCTTCCAGCTGCCTTCATGGGCTGGTATTGAGCATCTGCAGCATTACCAGGTGCACAGTGCAAGCTGTTGGTGGATCTACCATTCTGGAGTCTGGAGAATGGTGGCCCTCTTCTCACAGCTCCACTAGGCAGTGCCTCAGTGAGGAGTCTGTGTGGGGGTGCCCACTCCACATTTCCCTTCTGCACTGTCCTAGCAGGGGTTCTCCATGAGAGCCCTGCCCCTGTAGCAAACTTCTGCCTGGAAATCCAGGTGTTTCCCTACATCCTCTGAAATCCAGGCAGAGGTTCCCAAACCCCAAATCTTGACTTCCATGCACTGGCAGGCTCAACATGACATGGAAGCCACCAAGGCTTAAGGCTTGCACTCTCTGAACTGATGGCCCAAGCTCTATGTTGGCCACTTTCAGCCATGGCTGGAGTGGCTGGGACACAGGGCACCAAGTGCCTAGGCCACACACAGCACAGGGATCCAGGACCAAGCCCATGAAACCACTTTTTCCTCCTAGGCCTCCAGGCCTGTGATGGGAGGGACTGCCATGAAGACCTCTGAAATGCCTTGGAGACATTTTCCCCATTGTACTGGGGATTAACATTAGGCTCCTCCTCATGCAAATTTCTGCAGTTAGCTTGAATTTCTCCTCAGAAAATGGGATTTTCTTTCCTATTGCATTGCCAGGAGGCAAATTTTCCAAGCTATTATGTTCTGTTTCCTTTTTAAAACTGAATGTCTTTAACAGCACCCAAGTCACCTCTTGAATGTTTTGCTGCTTAGAAATTTCTCCCACCAGATATCCTAAATCATCTCTCTCAAGTTCAAAGTTCCACAAATCTCTAGGGCAGGGCAAAATGCCATCAGTCTCTTTGCTAAAACATAACAAGAGTCACCTTTGCTCCAGTTCCCAACAAGTTCCTCATCTCCATCTGAGACCACCTGAGCCTGGATTTCATTGTCCATATCATTATCAGCATCTTGGTCAAAGCCATTTAACAAGTCTCTAGGAAGTTCCAAACTTTCCCACATTCTCCTTTCTTCTTCTGAGCCCTCCAAATTGTTCCAACGCCTGCCTGTTACCCAGTTCCAAAGTCACTTCCACATTTTCAGGTATCTTTTCAGCAGGTCTCCACTCCCGTTACCAACTTATTGTACTAGTCCATTTTCATGTTCCTGACAAAGACATACCCAAGACTAGGTAACTTACTAAAGAAAGAAGTTTATTGAACTTACAGCTCCATATGGCTGGGGAAGCCTCACGATCATGGCAGAAGGCAATGGAGAGCAAGTCACAGTTTATGTGACTTGGCAGCAGGCAAAAAACAGAGCTTGGGCAGGGCAACTCCTATCTTTAAAACCATCAGATCTTGTGAGACCCATTCACTATCATGAGAACAGCACAGGAAAGATCCGTCCCCATGATTTAATCATCTCCCACCGGGTCCCTCCCACAACACCTGGGAATTATGGGAGTTATAACATGTGGGTGGAAACACAGAGGCAAACCATATCAGTAGGTATTAAAAGACACTTTGTTGAAGTAAAGTTAGTTTTTTTGTAAACAGCTCATCCAATGCCTTCTAGTGAGACTCTCAGAAAAATCTACCTAAGCATTAAGTTCTATAACTGCAGAAAGGAGTTATTAAGCACACCTGCCTCATACCCATCGTAGGAGGAGAATATTGGCTAAAATATGTAGGACCTTGTACTGTTAAAGTATCAGAATTTCCAAAATCATACACAGAGACTAAAAAGGAAAGGCTTGTCCTTTAGATTTAAACTTTTAATATAGCATACTTAGAGTGATAACATTTCTCTGTCTCCCAGTGTTGTACAACACTAACCAGAAAATTACATTCAGATAAGATAGATATGCAAATATCCTCAAATAGACATTATCAGTATCCCAACAGTTTGCTGAATAACCACAGAAATGTAGCAACTACACATCAGATGTTCTGCACTTAAAATCTGCACTTAACTTTCCAGATTGCTGCTTCCAGGCAATCTCCAAAGGACGGTACCTTGTATTCTGTCCGTAGGTTAGCCAGATATCATTCTTTCCTTAGAAGCGGTGAGGAATATAGAAACATTTCATCTTTTTTTTTTAATCTGTGAACAGTTTTAACTGAATGACAGGATACCACGGAAACCCATTGCTCTAGGACAGATGGCCACATGGTCTCTGCCAGCACACCCGAGAGCACATGTTATTGCCAAGGAACACAGGCTGCAGGGGAAGTTCATGTGCTGTGTTTCCAGCGACTCCTGCTCAAAGAGCTGTCACCTTTTTGGTCTATGTCTCAGTTTCCATTCTAGCCACAGCTGCCGGTTAGTGAATTCACAATTCATCAAATTCACTTGATATTCACCTCCTCCTAGTAAGATAGAAAATGCTCCAATGATTGAACTAATAGTCTGTGTTTATTTCAATTGCCACCTGGCATCAGACTCAACTGACATATGCGGGAAAACCACCAAGCCAGAGGGGCTCCACGCAAGCTTGATTTTTGCCATTACAAAAACATAAAGTCAAATCATGGGCTTTCTAGAGGGAAAAGGGCAAGCGGGAAAGAAGATGTGCAAAATTGTTGTGCTGCCTTCTTCATAATTACTGTTGATCTTTTACCTTTAAAACGATGCTAAAATACAAAGCTTAAATCCTCCATTTTTAGACGTTAACTCTTCATTTTTATCAGATTACATTATTCCCCTGGTTAAAACTCTTCAATAATTTCCCACTGGAATTAGAATAAAATGCAAAATCCTCACTGTGACTGCATTTCTCTAAATGGTTGACTTCATTTTGAGCTCTTCTTCCTGTTTTCTATATCACAGCAACGCTGGTTTTCTTTCTTTTGCTTGAATATTCTAGGGCATTTGCTGTTCCCTCTGCTTCCAGCACCTGCTCCTTGCCCTTCTGTAATTTTTCTTACAACTCAGGACTCAGATCAAATTTAATTTGATCTTTCTTTGATGACCCTGTCTAAAACCATTTTTGTCCTCAGCCCCTAGTTGGTCTCCATCTCTTTTTTCATATTTCATGTCACTAATGGCACTGGTCTGTCTCTCTCTTACACTCACACTCACACACAAACACACACACACACTCTCACATGAATGTAAGCTATACAAAAGCAAAAACCTGTCTTTCTTTTTAATAACAGCAATAGGCAGATAGTGGGCATTCAATAAATATCAAATTAAGTCAATGCACCCAGTAACAAATTTTAATATTCCCTTTAAACAAACATTATTTCCAATAAATGGAAATGGATAAGCACAGGATAATGATATGTTTGAGAAGAAGTGAACTGCTAGGTACACAAACACAGATCCTGATGGAGGAAGCTAAAGCAGCCACGGTAGTGCTGGGCCAAGGGGCTCCCTTCCCTTTTCACCTTTTTTGCACTCCCTTTTGGAAAGCTCATAACCAAAGGCATTTGTGAGAATGAAAATGCAACACCTGAATTACAAAACTTATTTTTAAAATATTTTAAAATATTTTTAAGATATTAAAACTTAATTTTAAAATATGTCAGAATGGCATTGCTTTAAGAGTAAATAAAAACAATATGTATTTCAAAACTCTGGAGACATTTCTATTCTAATAACAATCATATTATGTTCCCATTGTAAAGCATTTCAAACCATAACCACTATTTTCAGTTCTAGGGGTGAAAATAGAGTTCTGTTCTTTCTAATGTTTCTGGTTTCCATGATTTCAAAAGTGGATTTGTTTTTTCTCAAATTAAATGTAACAGGTCAGTGAGCCTTTAATGTAGTCCTGGAGATGCCAGAAAGAAAATAGAAATAGACACGTTATTAATGGCTGAAAATTAGTTCACTCTATCTGCTTGAGAAACTTCTCTCACACTTCAAACACTCAAACCCATCTTCACATCAGGGTGATAAACCATGGAGTGATTGCTGAAAACATTAGGAAACATCACATCAACAAGCAGTCCATTGAAGAAGCCACCACAATATTCTCAGTGGGTCCCTGATGATTTCTCTCTGCAATGGGGATGGTTAGTTTTAAATAACACAGCATTCTATCTTCCTTCCTCTCATATGTGTGTCTATGTATTGATGATGACCTCTTGGTACACACATGAATAAGGACTCAAATAGATGGCAGAGTAAATCACCAACAGAGTGCTAGATGTGAAATTGGGAGACACAGGTTCAAATTTGGCTCTACTAATGATTAGATGAGTGGCCCAGAGCAAGTGATCTAACTGCGCTAAAACTAGCTTGTTTCTGCAGATATATATTATGAAGAGTTCTAAAGAGAATAAAATAAAAGTAAACTACCTAACATACAGTCTAGTAAATATATTGTCAACAAGAGGCTCCTTTCTGTTTTTCCCCCTTTCTTCTTTCCATTTCTTCTTCAAAAGCAAAATAGATTCTATGGAATTAATGTAAAATTGGGGATTTAAAACAATATGTGGAAAACCAATAGAATTTTAGAAATTGGTGTTGAACAGTTAGGGCTATACTTCTTATAATTCAATTACCTGCTTTTACCTAAGTAAAAAATAAATGTCATATTTTAAAACTATAGTTATTTTTTCTTACTTTTTTGTTTGTTTTTGAGGCAGTCTCACTCTATTGCCCAGGCTGGAGTGCAATGGCACCATCTCGGCTCACTGCAATCTCCGCTCCTCAGTTAAAGCGATTCTCCTGCCTCAGCCTCCCGAGTAGCTGGGACCACAGGCGCCCGCCTCCATGCCAGGCTAATTTTTGTAGTTTTAGCAGAGACAGGGTTTCACCATGTTGGTCACGGTGGTCTTGAACTCCTGCCTTCAGGTGATCTACCCGCCTCAGTCTCCAAAGTGCTGGGATTACAGGCATGAGCCACTGTACCCAGCATGCATGCATTTATTGATTGATTGATTGAAACAGTCGCCCAAGCTGGAGTACAGTGGTGTGATCTTGGCTCACTGCAACCTCCGCCTCCTGGGTTCAAGTGATTCTCTTGCCTCAACCTCCCGAGTAGCTGGGATTACAGGCATGTGCCACAAAGCCTGGCTAATTTTGTATTTGTAGTAGTGATGAGGTTTCGCCATGTTGGCCAGGCTTGTCTCAAACTCCTTATCTCAGGTGATCCACCTGCCTCGGCCTCCCAAAGTGCTAGGATTACAGGCATGAGCCACCATGCCCAGCCTTTTCTCACTTTTTGCTACATTTTTTTCTTATAGTACATTTCCAATGAGTATAAATGGGAATTTTTTCCAAAACTGTGATAATATTTATTTTTGGCCCTTCAGCCAATTGAGGTCACAATGAAAAGATGGTTGTCCATGAACTAGTGAATAGGCCCTCACCAGACACTAAATTTGTTTGCACTATGATCTTGGACTTCCCAGCTCTAGGACTATGAAAAACAAAAATCTGTTGTTTATAAGCAAAAAAATAAATTAATTAAAAAAATTGAATTCTCTATGTATTTTTACCTTGCATTATTTCAGCACATACTGAAAAAACATGACTGTAGGGCCCAAGCTCTTTCACAACCTGGAGACTATAAGGTCCCTGTTCTTAACTAGATTCTGGTCCAGTGGTAAAAAGGATACGTAGATCAACAGTTGCATTGCAATGAGGTGAACATTATAAATAAAAGTATGAAACAGTGATATTGAAACACATAGAGCATGTAACTTTGGTCAAGTGCAGAGGGGAAGATTTAGAAAAGCTTCCTGAGATGGAATGACTTTTGAGTTAGGGTTGGAAGATGGAAATAAGCATCTAAAGCTCAGAAGAAAGGTAGAAGTTTGAAATATGTACTTGAAGTCCTCAGTGTTCTAGAGGCAAGAGTATGGATAAGGTTGCTCAAGATCAGTGTGTAGAAAGAGAAGAAAAATAACCCCAGGTTAGATTATTAGTTTATTAGGCAACTTTTCCTGTTGTAACAAATAACTCTAAGATACCTGTACCTCACAGAAAAAGGCACTTATTTCTTGTTTACTCATTTTGTAATGAAGCCTGTGGTTGACCTGAGCTCTGTTGGTTATTACTGGGCTGGGCTGGTCTTGGTTGGGCCCCACGTTTTTTGGGTTTTGTTTTGTTTTTTGTTTGTTTGTTTATTTTTTTGAGACAGAGTCTCACTCCGTTGCCCAGGCTGGAGTGCAGTGGCACAATCTCAGCTCACTGCAACCTCCGCCTCTCGGGCTCAAGCAATTCTCTTGCCTCAGCCTCCCAAGTAGCTGGGATTATAGGCGCCCACCACTGTGCCCGGCTAATTTTTGTATTTTTAGTAGAGGTGGAATTTTACCATGTTAGCTAGGCTGGTCATCAACTCCTGACCTCAGGTGATCTGCTCGCCTTGGCCTCCCAAAGTGCTGGGATTACAGGCGTGAGCCACTACGCCCAGCCCCCAGTGTATTTTCTCATTTTAGCACCCAGAGTAAAGAAGAATCCATAATCTTAAAAAGGCAAGGTTAGAAGGAAGACAGAGTGAAATAACACAAACACAGTTAATCTTCTGTTCAGATGTGGCAAATGTCACACAGGTATGTCACATGCTGAAAGTCACGGGGGCAGAGGCTAGTGAACACAAATAAGCAGGACAGTCACATGCAATGGGTGAAAATATAAAATCCTGTAAACACTGGAATTTTTACAGGATTAATTGGAGAATCACTGGAAACAATAACTCTTTTAAAAACGTTTTTGAATCTACCTTTACTTATGCTTATTTTCATTTCTGAAATTTTCCTTTTTATTTTTGTTTATTAACAATTCTGATTAGCCTGGACAGTGAGCATAGTGCTTTCAATCTACTTTAAAAAAAATGGAGGCATAATATTTGTGCATACTTACAGGGTGCATGTGATATTTGTTACATTCATAGAACATGTAATGATCATGTCAGGGTACTTAAGATATCCATCATCTTGAGCATTTATCATTTCTACTTGTCGGGAACATTTCAAGTTCTCTATTCTATTTTGAAATATGTGAAACGTTGTTAACTATAGTCACCCTACTCTGTTATTGAACATTAGAACTTATTTCTTATATCTAACTGTATCTTTGTACCCATTAGCCAAACTCTTTATCTCCACAACACACACTCCCTTTCGAGCCTCTGGTAACTAACATTCTACTCTCTGCCTCCCACAGACCAACTTTTTTAGTTCCCATACAGGAGTGAGAACAAGTGATGTTTATCTTCCTGTGCTTTGTCTATTTCACTTAACATAATGACCTTCAGTTCTATTCACGTTGCTGCAAATGACAGGCTTTCATTCTTTTTTATGACAGAATAGTATTTCATTGGGTATATATACCATATTTCATTGATGTATTCATTCATTAATGGACACTTAGGTTGATTTCATAGCTTTGCTATTGTGAATCATGCTGCAACAAACATAGAGGTGCAGATATTCCTTTGATATACTGATTTTCTTTCCTTTGGAAAGAAAATTGAGTTGGCATTGCCAACTCATACGGTAGTTCAATTTTTAATTATTTGAAAAATCTCAATACCAATTTCCACAATGTCTGTGGTAATTTACCTTCTCAATAAAAGTATATAAAGTTCTTTTCTCCATATCCATGCCAGCATCTATCACCAATCTACTTTTTAGTGTCTCATCCTGAAATATCAGCAGACAACCAAGAATCATCAGACACTGAAGTCTAACACACTTTTTAAAAAAACAAACACAAATAAGAAAAAAAGGAACTCAAAGGAAATAAAATGCCAATATTAGAAAATTAAAAAAATATATTCAAAGAGAAGATACCCTATTTACGTAAGAACGGGTGCTTTACAGAAAAGAAAAAAAAATCAGAAGAAAAAAAGAGCTCTTAAGAACAAGTGTTCTGTAAATATTTGCTGAAATAATCTGACGGTAAAAGCACATATTAAACTCAAAAATAAATATTATCACTGCTTTGAAAAAATTATCATGTACACATATTGGAAAATAATAGAAACTCAAGAATAGATGGATTTACCTCAACTTGATAAAATATGTCTAGAAAAAAACTTGCAACTAAAATTATATGTAATGGATAAAGACTAAATGCTTTCCCTCTAAGTCTTGAAACAAGGCAAGGATGTCCACTCTCATCACTCTTAACAGTGGTAAGAAGTTATAGCCAGTACAATAAAGAAACATAGAGAATAAAATCATATATATAAGAAAGCAAGAAGTAAAATGGTTTGTCTTCTACATGACATGTTTGTTTATGTAGAAAATTTTAAGGAATCTATGAAAATATTCCACGACTAATAAGTGAGTTCCACAAGGTAACAAAATATATGACAGAAAAATCAACTTTATTCCTATATACTATCAGTAACCAAATACATAAGACAGAAAAATCAACTTTATTCCTGTATACTATCAGAGAACACATAAACTCTGATATTAAATATACAATACTATTTAAAATCTCTCAAAAAATTGATTTGGGTGTAAATCTAAGATAACATTTACAGGGTTTACATGCTTAAAACCACAAAATACTTATAAAATAAAGTAAAATCTAAATAAATGGAGATACATGCCATTTTCATCAATTGGAAGACTCAACACAGTAAAGATGTCAAATTTCCTGGAGTTGACCAAGATCAAAGCAACATTTTTTGTCTACATAGACATTATTATAAATTTACATGTATGAAAGGCCAAAAAAAACTAGAATATCTGAAACAAGATCGAAAAATAAAAATAAAATGTGAGGAATCTGTCTACTTAATTTCAAGACTTATATTGTATAGCTACAGTGATCAGACTGTGGCATTGGCAGGGGAGTAGACACATAGATCAATTGAATGCAGGAATAGATCCACACAATTGCTGAACTGAATTTTTGACAAAAGTAAAATAGCAATTCAATTTAGGAAAGATAGTCTTTTCAGTAAATGGTGCTGCAGCAATTGGACCTCTATTGGTGGGGACAAATATTTGACCATTGTATACTGTTGGTTGATGGTATTATTGAATTGATCCATGTCATTAGGGATTTTCTGTGTAACCATTCTATCAATTGAGGGAGTGTAATTATAGACTTCTCTTTTTTTTTCAGGTCTATCAATTTTTTCTTCACATATTTTGTAGCTCTGTTGTTGCAGGATTGTTATGTCTTCACGGTGGGTTGACCCTTTAAACATTATATAATGTCCCTCTATGTCTCCAGTCATTTTCTTTGTGCTGAAGACTGCTCTGTCTGATATTAATATAGATTAATATCATTCCTACTTTTTGTTTGCATAATTCTTTTTTCATTTTTTTCTTTCAACCTGTGTATACCATTATATTTGAGGTGAGTTTCCCACAGTCAGCGTATAGTTGGGTCATATTTTATAATGCACTATGTTTTTTAATTGGTATAGACTATTTAAATTTAATGTAATTGTTGACTTGTTAGGGCTTACATCTGAAATTTTAATTTTGTTTTCTGTTTGTTCTGTCTAGTTTTTGTTTCTCTCTTTAATTTTTCCTGCTTTCCTATAGGCTACTTGAAAATGTATCATGGTATTTGAGAGATGCTCTTTGTATAGCTTTTTGATGATTACTCTGGGTATTACCTTATGCATACATAACTTATCACACTCTATTGGTGTCACAATTTCACCAGTTTGAGTGAAGTATAAAAAGCTGTCCCTGATTTACACTCCTTTACTCTACCTAAATGTTTCTCCACATACATTTATAACCACATCAACCAGTGTTATAATTTTCACTTCAAGCATCAATCACCAAGAAAATTCAAGAGGAGAAGGAAAATGTATTTATTCATATATTTACTGTTTCTATTGTTCTTTTCTCATCTTGATCTTCCTATCTTCTTTCTTTTACTACTTTCCTTCCTTTTCAGAGAATTTCTCTTAGCCATTCTTTTTAGGTGAGGTCTGCTGGTGACAAAATTTCTTAGTTTCCCTTCACATGAGAATGGCTTTATTTTTCTGTCATTTCTGAAGGATATTTTCACTGGATATAGGATTCTGGGTTGACAGTCCTTTACTTTCAGCACTTGAAAAGTGTCACACTACTACTTTCTGGCCTCTGTGGTTTCTAAGAGAAATAGGATAGGTTGTCACTTGAATGTTTTCCCCCCAGATAAGTAAGGTGTATTTTCTCTCTAACCATTGTTTTTAAGATTTTTTTTCTTTGTATTTAGTTTTCTGAAGTTTGACTATGATGTAAATTTATTTGGGTTTATCCTGTTAGGGATTTGCTTAGTTTTTTGACTCTGTAGATTAATATCTTTTGCCACATTTGAGAAGTTTTTAGACATCATTTCTTTGAGTACTTTTCAACCCCAACTGTTTCTCCTCTCATTTCAGGGGTCTGACAGAAAAAAATGTTAGATCTTTTGTTATACTCCCATAGGTACCTGAGGCTGTGTTGTGGTGTGTTTTTTTTCCAGTCTATTTTCTCTCTGTTGTTCAGATGAGATTATTTCTGTTGTTCCATCTTCCAGTTCACTAGTTCTTTCCTCCATTCTGCTGCTGAGCACGTCCACTGGTTTTTTCTTTTTAGGTATTATATTTTTAGTACTAAAATTGTCATTAGGTTATTTTTTATATTTCCTTTGTTTGCTGAGGCTTTCATATTTTTCACTTATTTCAAGTGTATCTGTATTTGCTTGTAATGCATCTTTTATGATGGCTACTTTAAAATCTTTGCCAGATAATTCTAACATATTTTTCATCTCTGTGTTGGCATTCTTTGTTTTTGGTTTGGTCAGTTTGAAATCTTTCTGTTTTTGATATAACAACTGATTTTTTTAAATTGAAATCTGGAACTTTGGGGTACTATGTAATGAAACTGTGAGTCTTACAAACCTTCTGTTTTATCTTGCTTTCTCTGACATGGCTCTGATAAATAAGTGGTAGGCACTGCCTCACTACTGTCAGGTGCTTGCAGAAGTCCGGATTTCCTACTCAGCTTCCATTGACATGGGACAGAGGTGAGCACTTTGTTCAGGGTTACTGCTTGATAGAGTGGGAGTTCTAGTTCCTCAGGAGGCTTCCACTGCATGATAGTGAGGAGGATGACCTTAATACTATTTTGTGGTGTTAAAAACCCAGATTCTCCAGTAGTTCTTTCTGACATAATCCCAACAGTGACTGGGAGGGATACCTCATTACTGCTGGCAGTGGGGGGAATTTAGTTTCCCCATTTGGGCTCCACTGACGTTATAAAAAGATGAGGGCTTATTAACATCCACTGAGGATAAAAGCCCCAACTCAGACTTCTCTAATACAACCCAGATGAGTGATTGGGGCACCTCAGTTTACCCTGGTGAGACCTCAGTTTACCCTGGTGAGGATGGAAGTCTAGATCCTCATGAGCCCTTTACAGGTGGGGTAGGGGTATAGACAGTTTTACTATGTGGTGTTTGTTAGAGTAGAGTTGCTATTGTCCAAAAGTTTTCTATATTACTAGTCTCCCCCTTTCTTCATCCTTTGACTGTATAAAGCAAGCTTTTGTTGGAGCTTTTATTTGTCTGTAATCATTGATATTTGCAGGTTGCTGATTTCTTCAGACTTAAGTCTGGGATACAGAAGGTGAAAAGAAAGGAATCCTAGGGAATTTACCACCAAGTAATTCCTCAAGTTCCAAAGGACCCTAGCTCATCTGCTTTCTTCTCTTTACCTTTCAGAATTGTACTATGACACAATCCAGAGTGTTTAGTCCATACTTAGGTAGAAGAAGGAAAGTACGTTGTATTAGTTTGTTTTCATGCTGCTGATAAAGACATACCCGAGACTGGGTAATTTATAAGGAAAAAGAGGTTTACAAGAC
Source organism: Homo sapiens (assembly GCF_000001405.40). Lineage (NCBI taxonomy): Eukaryota > Metazoa > Chordata > Mammalia > Primates > Hominidae > Homo > Homo sapiens. Next base: position 34,146,030 of record NC_000008.11, on the reverse strand, counting down.
TCACAGTTCCACATGGCTGAGAAGACCTCACCATCATGGTGGAAGGCGAAAGGCATGTCTTACATGGCAGCAGGCAAGAGAGAAATGAGAGCCAAGTGAAAGGGGTTTCCCCTTATAAAACCCTCAGATCTCGTGAGACTGATTCACTACCATGAGAACACTATGAGGGAAACTGCCCCTATGATTCAATTATCTCCCACCGGGTCCCTCCTACAACATGTGGGAATTATGGGAGCTACAATTCAAGATGAGATTTGGGTGGGGATACAGCTAAACCATATCATACATCTACTCCACCTTTTCAGAAGTAGAAGTCTCTGTTGAGTTTTTAATTTCAGTTATTTTTATTTTTCTCCTCCAACAATTTTTATTCATTTTCTCTAATTGTTAATATCTATTCCATTGTTGCATCTGTTTATCTGTCTTATCTTTATACCTTTTTTTAACCTGCACTTTGTATCTGCTGATGTCCTTCCATTATAGTTCATTTCCTCCTATGACTTGTAATTTTTGAATGAGTTTTTATCTTCAACTTGAATGTATTTTTTCCTGTGTGTGTCCCTTGCCTTCTGTATTGTGGAAGCCCTAAAGAGCTGTTTTGTTTTGCTTTTATTGGGCACCTCTGAAAATTCACTTGTCCAGGATCAGCATTTACATTTCTAATTTATCAGCTTAGAATTCATGCCTGTATACAGAATGTGAATTGGTATTCCATACCTAGGCATGGCATAAGCTTTCAGTTTCAGTTCTTAATTGGATTTTTTTTTCCCAAAGCATAAAGGAAAGACATGCTTCCTTGTTAATTCTTAGTATTTACGGTGTTTTCTTACCTCTTTGACAAACTGGGCAGCTCTTACAGGGTCTCAGCTTTTTGCTGGTGTCTGGTTTCAGCAAGCAGCCTCACAGCAGTGCCCACTCTCCTCTATATCCCCCTCCTCCATAGCCATATATCTTACTCTGAGTGGACATTAAAATCTCAGCCACTATTCGCTAAGACCTATATCTATTTGCATGCCTTCAGGTCCAACTTGATATCTCTTATTAATCTGGGTATAAATTATTTCTGGTACCTCAGAATTGCAGTAATGTGTGCTGAAGCCAGCTTGTATAGGCTGGCAAGAGTTAATGGTTAAATGTTCAGAAATTTATGAGCTACTATGAACATGCTGATTAAAACATGGATATATAAATGTTTTTCATGTTGGAGGTTCTGTGTTAGTTCAGAATGTCATGATGGTGAAATTAGAATTTTGTCATTGATTTAACAAAACCAGAAATTACTTAGAAAATGATTTTACTTTTCATTCAGAGCAATACCCTTCCACCCACCCACCTACCCCATCCCCAACCCCATTTAAGAGATGAGATAACTAAGGCTCACTGAGATCAAATGGCAAGAGACCATGTGAGGGCTTTCCCCACTCCTTATGGCAGAACTGCTCTGTTTCATCCTGTGTCCTGCCTATGCTTGTTTTGCTGAAAGATTATTTCCCCATTTTTCTTCTAAAAGAGCTCCAATAAAAGGATCTAGATGCCGAGCCTCTTGGTTCCAGGTGACATGGTGTTGGAAGGCACCACCAATTGCTATCCAGGCACTGGTATCTCCCTTGAGGGCCCCTGGCTGGATCAATCAAAAAACTACCCCTGAAACACAGATTTCATTTCATGTTTCCCCACAGGACACCATTTGTCAAACAGCCCCCAGGCCAATGAGAGACCCCAGACGTCAGATTCATTAAGCCTTTCCAGAGCCAAACAGATGTCACATTGAGCCTGTTTTATTTTTTCTCATTCTCTATCTTTATCCTTGCCTTTCTTTTTATTGCTTTGTCTTTGTACCTCTCTTCATTACATTGCCCCATTATTATTGCTTTACTAAAGCAATCATCATTGAAATGCCTATCCAAACATCCATTAACATGCTTTCTGAATATGCTGTTTTCCAACTGCTGCTTACTGTAAGGAAATAGATTATCCATTATCAGCAAGAAATGTATCTGACCTAAAAACCAGAAAAGTCCATGGTTTAAGACATATGAAGAACTTACAGAAAATCAGAAAAGAGAAATATTGTCAATTCACAGTACATTTGTTATCCTTATTACAGATCATCATTAATAGCTTTAGATCAATACACAACTATGATGCTGATAAGATTTAGCTTTTAGAATGTTATGTAACCAGGGATTATTCAGTCTAACCCCCTTATTTGATAAATGAGGAAATAAAACTACAAAAGCAAGTACCAAGTTCTACTTTGAAACTCTGTGATCATGCCAATCCTCCATACTACCTTTAGATGTAATAAAATCTGCTTATAGCTTTAAGAATACAAGCTGAATTCACTTGAACATCACTTATGTGAAAAAAACAGCTTAAAAGATTGTGTTCAATGGTCCAAAGACCCAGCAATAACCAAATATTGGTATGCTGGGAACATTTAACCCTTGGTTCATATCTCATAATAAGTACTCCTTAATTACCTACCATGATGCAATTTATATCAAAAAAATTAACAGTATAATTTAGTAGTTATAAACACAGACTCTGAAGCCAGATTGCCTGGGTATGAATACTATTTTACTCCTTTAATATTTCTGTGACTTTGAGCAAGTCAGTTATGCTCTGTGCTTGTTTCCTCATCTATAAAATCTGAATAGTGATAGTAACCATGTGTAGGGTTGTTTTGAAGATCACATCAACTATACAGGTAGAATGCTTAGAAGAATTTCTGGAACGAAACACATACTACATAAAGGTTAGCTATCATAAAATATTATTTTTTAATTGGCTGCAATTATTCCCTTCCCTATCCCCAATGCCCCTTACAAAGTGACTGTACAGCAACACCCATGAGAGGTAAACTCTATCCCTGGCTCTGAAACCCGGCCTGGCCTTGCCACTTGCTTTGGCTAGCAGAAGTAATAACTTGCCAACTTTGAGCCTACCCTTCAAGTGGCTGTCCATGCTTCCACACTCTCTCAGAATTTTTCACCATAGAAACAGGCTAGGGAGAAAGACCAGACAAGATCAGCAAAACTGACATAAAACTGACTACAGACGCACGAGGGAGCAACAGTCACCTAGCTGAGCCCAGCCTAAATTACTAACCACAGAATGGTGAGCTAAACAAATGGTTCTTATTCATATTTTATTTTATTTTTTAGAGACAGGGTCTGGCTCCATTGCCCTGCTTGGAGTGCGTTAATGCCATCATAGCTCACTGCAGTGTGGAACCTCTGGATGGGCTCAGGTGATCCTCCTGCCTCTGTCTCTCAAGTAGCTTGGATGATAGGGGTGCACCACCATGCTCAGATAATTTTTTTCCTTTTTTTTTTTATTTTGTATTGTTACCAAGGCTGGTCTTGAGTTCCTCGCTTCAAGCAGTCTTCCAACCTCAGGCTCTCAAAGTGTTTAGCTTACAGGCATAAGCCATCACTCGTGGCCCCTCTTATTTTTAATTTTATCATGGTTAATTGTGCCACAATAGCAAACTGATATAACTGTTACTACTCTAAAATACATTTTAATGTTATCAAAAATTATTTTATTCTTTTCTCATCACGAAGAAGGGGGAAGACACTCCTTTAATATTTCTCCAATCAAGAAGGGATATCTGGGCCCCTTCCTTTTGAATCTGGGTGGGCTTGTGACTAAGAGAACACACAATTAGTGATGCTGTATGACTGCCAGGTCAAAAAAAGACCAGGCAAGTAGCCCCCCAATTCTCTTGGAACATGAACTCTAGGGGAAGTCAGGCATCAAATAAGCTGCCTCACTATACTAAGGCTGTTGTACTGGAGAGGCTGCATATAAGTGTTCTGTTCAATGGCCCCAGCTGAGCTCCCAGCTGATAGTCAGCATTGACTTCCAACCATGTGATTAAGCCATCTCATACAACCAGCCCAGTCAAGACATCCAGGCCAGGCATGGTGGCTCACACCTGTAATCCCAGCACTTTGGGAGGCTGAGGTGGAAGGATTGTTTGTGTTCAGGAGTTTGAGACCAGCCTGGGCAAGATGGTGAGACCCTGTCTCTACAGAAAATAAAAACTTAGCCAGATGTGGTGGCTAATGCCTGTGGTCCCAGCTACAGGGGCAGCAGAGGTGAGAGAATCATTTTAGTCCAGGAAGTCAAGGTTGCAGTGAGCGCTGTTTGTACCACTGTGCTCCAGCCTGGGTGACAGAACAAGACCCTGACTCAAAAAACAAAACAAAAAAAGACTTCAGATGACACCAGCCCCAACTGACATCTGACTACAACTTCACAGGAGATGCCAAGTAAAAATTATCAGTCAAGTCCTTCTAGAATTCCTGACCCAGAAATCTGTCAGCAAAATTAAATGATTGCTTTAAGCTGCTAAATTTTGGAGTAAGAATTCATACAGCAACAGGAACCAGAACATCACTATGGTGTGACTGATTCATATTAGAAAAATCAAGTGGTGTTTGGAGGATGTGATTTCCCATTAGAAAATTCAAAAACCAAAATGATCCCTCAAAAGACTTAGAAATAAATGCAGGTTTATCAACAATACATGAAGCCGGAAAATTACCTGGTCCATTACCCACGAGCTCACCATTCCCTGACAGTTCCTACTGCTTAATTCTAAGAAAGCTACTTTGAACAGCAGAAGGTACTTTCTTCTTTTGAAAACAATCAAGATTTAGGATTATGAACACTCTTCCCCAAGGTAACTTGGAGCTGAAGAACTTGTAGTCATATAGAACTGGGTCCATATTGTACTCTGATTTGTGCTTGTCTTTAAAGTTCTATATTTTACAGCAACAAACACATTTGGGTCCCATGGGCTAAAGTGGAAATATTTTTTTATTATACCCTCAAAGCATTTGGCTTGTATTTCCATAGAAACCTGCCTGAAGAGTTCTCTTGGGAAGCAAGGATCCATGGAGTAGAAAATGAAACACTAAATGTCATACAGAGACACACTGGTGTTTGCATTTTAAACTTCATCCAATTGAATAAAGTGTATGTCTATAGGTCACTTTTTCATGACCGAGAAATACTGGTGACCAAACATCAGCATTTGAGGGCAGAGAACTAAGGTCATTTGATATTTCCCTTGCTTTTTATTTATTTATTTTTTCTTGTGATGCTAAGTTTCCAAATCTCTCACTAGGGAAAAAAAATTCCAAAAGCACTTTACTAGAAAGACAGATATATTCTTCATGGCAGGCAATGCTCTTGTGAATTTGCTCACTAATGGAAGTAACTTTAGGAAAGGGCATGTCATCTAGGTTTGGACCTATTAGCTTAAAGTAGATAGTGCAGCACATCTATGCTGAATTCGGGCAGAGTTGGGGTTTAGCACTTGGCTCTAACACTAACGTGCTACAAGATTTTGGAAAAATCATTTACTTATTTTATGCTCCAGTTTCCCCATCTATAAAATATAAGACATAATACTTATCTGGAGGGACCCAAATAATATTGTGTATGTAAAGCAGCTAGTACAGTGTTTAGCACAGAGTAATTGTTCACTAAATGCTTGTTTCAGAGCTGACATTTAAAACCAATGCCAAGTTTCTTATCAAGCTGGTTATCTGTGCAATTCTGGGTAAATTATTCACTCTGGACCTTAGTGTATCCACTGTTGAACAATTTTTTTAAAAAAAAAGCATTATCTAGTTTAAATGTAAAAATATGTACAGCACTTTTAAAAAATATAAGGTATACTACAAATGGGAAGGAGGTTAATGGTGATTATGATCATAATTGTAAAAACTTTATAATAATGGCATTTACTTGGTAACTATTTGAGAGTCTTCTACAGGATTCTCAGCAAGCATACCTTAAATGTCCTTTTGAAGGATGCCCTTACATATTATTGTTACAAAATTAAAATGTCCAAGCCAGGATCCATCCTGAGCAAGAATACAGACGTAAAGTTTGTCATTATAAGCAACCCTCAACACATATGGACTTGCATATACCCAGGCTTAACAAATGTATTTCATGTTTTTCCCTATTTACCTTTTTTTTTCCCTCCATACTCATTCTATACCCACACAAACTCGAATGTGCCCAAATTTCTCACGATGTTCTGAGGCTCATCTATCTGAAAGCCAGAGTCACCCTTGAAATTAGTATGTGATTATCTGGGGCTGATGTAACTTAAGACATTGAGGCTCTTTGTTGGGGTGTGACATTTGTGAGCAGAAGATCCCAAAATACACTGCACTAGCTGGGGATTGAACTGGACTAAAGATGGTGAAAGTGGAAATGACATGTTTATAGGTTTTCGTGGGGAGAAGAAAGAAGAGATTCGAGTTACTAAAGGAATTCCTCTTCCCCAAATGTTCATCCTGCTTTAGGTGTCCCAGGACCAATAATGGCAGAACACTGAAACCCTCTACATCTTGCAAGATTTCTTCACTTTCTGAGCCTCTGATTTCTCATCTATAGGACAAGTATAATTATACACAGTGGCGTGCTGGTAAATGTTTTAACAACCAACTCTACGAGGAATAAAAAAGGCTTGATTGTAACACTTTCCTATTTCTGTGGTGTATTATAAATAGACCCACAATGGCCAATTTGAAACCATAATGTGACATAACTGAACACAGAGTTGGGAAGAGATTTGCTCTAGTACATTGTATAATGTTTTCACTATACAAAAACAATAGCTTTAAATAACCTCAGAAGCACAGATATTAGTAAATATAGCAAAATAACTATGAATTAATAAGTTTTTTTACTACCATTTTAATATATTTGTTTCCACAATTTAATTTTGAATAATGTCTGTATTTTACAACCAGCTCTCAAAATTCCTGAAAAATGTGACAATCAACTCTTGCTAGCTGGTATGACCCTGTTGCAGCACTTCACTGATTTTATTTGCTTAAAAGCCTCTTTTGAGAATTATCATGTTACATTTTATATTTAAATCTTAAACCATATTTAAACTGATTACTTCATATCTTTCAAATGTAACAATCTCAAATAACCTTACCAGTAATTCTGGTAAAAATTTATGCTACTCAGATGTCAATTGCCTTGTTAGTATAGTTAAGTCTAAATGCTTGCCATCTTATCAGATAATGTTAATACAAACTTCAACAGCTGCAGCAGTGACTGGAATATGTAACTGTGATGGCATCAACAGCAAGAAGATAGTCTAGGGGAGGAATAAATCAAGATGGTCCACATCCGTGCCCCTTTTACTCACCCAATGCATGTCTCTCAGGCCTCATGTGGAACCAAAAAAGGATGTAAAGGAGCTGGCAGTTCTGTGGCCTGGATAGTTAAAGACAGGTAAGACATCACTGTTTGTGACTGTGTTTTTGTTTGTTTGTTTGTTTGTTTTGTCTATTGTGTCTGGAAAGGCTTCTAGAATCCCCTTTCTCAGTCAGGTAGATTGAAGAAACCTGTTATCACGTGAAAAAGAACAATGTAAGAAATGGACTAGACAAATAATTGGTAACAAGAAAGGATAAATAAGAAGTTGATAGGCAAAGGGGGTGAGAAGTGGAAAGAGGAAGAGGAGAGAGACAAGGAGAGACGTTTCATTTACTGCCTATCCTGAGGCTAAAGTCTAACCTAGCTTATTAAACAGAGGAACCTGTTATAGAAATCAGGCTTCCAGGAAAATTCCTCTAAGCCAAATTGCTACCTTTTACCCAAACAATGCCTTTCTGTCTGTATTTAAAAATGAGCAATAACAAAGATCCAAAGATAGGAAACAGTGGAAAGACTTTTAGTAAATTTAAGAGATTCCTTTCATCCTTCTACTATTAATACTGAAAAGATCTTTCTTTGGGCAGGCAGAGGCTCAAGAGTAACATTACAATTTTATGTTTTTTAACAAATGCACTAAGCACTTCAAGAAAAAAGACAAACTCTATGACAGATGTCGTAAGCAAGTTTTTGTAATAACAGAGTATGTGTTGAGTGTTGCTGTCAATTTGCTTCTGTTTCCAACCATCCAGATACTTTCCCAAGTCTTGAAAAAACAAAGCCTTAAGTTGATGGGAACCGAAATATCTCAAACTAAGTCAGCCTGGTAGAGCCACTTGATCCAGCCAGCTGAAATGCAGATGGAGGACTCTGAAGACTGGTGCGAGCAGTCACTTTTATTTTTAACAGAAAATGTATACAACCAAGTCTGAAGGTTAGACAAATCTGAAAGACAGGTAACGGTAGAAAAGAGCAAGAAACAGGAGATCCACAAAGTTTTAGAAACAAGAGAAAATCATGCTCTGGAAATAGGGGAGGGTGACTGTTCTTAATGTGGTGTGTGTGTAACTACATGCGCATATGCGCACACATACATGCTCAAAATGTAACAGTTGAGATCATCAATCGGTAGTGATCAATTAATGCACTTTTCCTTTAGATAATACAAGGAGGAGACTTTCTTCACTTCTTTAAATAATGAAAAGAGAAAACAATTCAAGTTGTTCATGCATCACTAGGATTTAAGTAGAACTCCACACAACTAAGAAATATGGGGGGGAAATATGGTAGCACAGTTTGCTGTTACCACTAATTACCCTGCAGTATAGCTCCAAGAATGTTCCTCTGCTTTTATAAAACTGTTTTCTTTTGAAGTCTTAGAAAATAATTCAGTCAATAACTAACCCCATATACATGCAGAGAATAATGGCAAAATCTATAGCTACGAAAGGGACTGTTATGAGGGAGAAATGCACAATATAATTCTAAAGAGATGAAGAATTTATTTATCAAGCGTGTTAAAGGCACAGTGTCTCCACCTACTGTAGAGTAGGAGGATTCAAATCTTCAGTGTCTTGGTGTTTGGTCTTTTTCCTGTGAATTTTCTTCCTCTCTCTGAGTGTGTCCTTCAGAGGAAGACGCCCTTGTGTACATTGCAGGAATGCCACACCCTTATCCTTTATTTGTTAATGGACACCAACAATAAAGCATGAGGTAATTCCTTCCTTTTTCCTCCCCCAGCTAGTTGATTTCTAAGTTACCTCCCTCTCTTTTTCTTCTGTTTCTTCTACAATTTCCTCTCTGTCTCATCTCTCTGTTTCTTTTACATTTTCACCTTTTTAATTCTTCTGTTTTTACCTTTCAGAAACTTGTAATTTGGACCTAGGTTTGCTACTCTGGTTAATATCAGAACATACTGAAGCCAAGAATCCTTGGTTTGGTGTCTAATTCTGGGTTTAGCATTCAATTTCTTCAAAGAGGAGGACAGTAGAAGAGACAAGTTTCCTTTTGAGTGCAAGAAAACCAAATTTAGCAAATAATCTCCCCAATAAGGTATGTTCGGTCAGCTATGAGTTGGACCCACTAATTACTGTGGTGTACTTCTGTTGTGACCCAGCTTGTTAATGCATAGTTAGAGAAATGCTTCAGGGCAAATGATGCTTCCAAAAATATGATAGTTAATTTATATACTAGCCAGAGTCTATAAGGTTTATTTTTCTTATAGCTCTGACTTTTGCTGCATGCACACAACGCATTTGCTGCTGTCCAGGCAAGAATGCAGTATGACTCCAGCTTTATGGGAATTCACAAGGGTCCCAAGGGTCAGCCTCACCAGACTCAGAAATTGAATACAGAAAAGTACCTCAAGGGCAGATTCTCATCAGACTCATTCTCCTGAGTATGACATGCCATTTTTGTGACAGAAATACCACTCTCCAGTACTGCTAGAGGAAGAAAATCTATGCAAATATTTCCAATATGCTGAATAAAGCTGAAGGCTCAGGGGCAAACCACATTTGATGCAGGGTATTATTTAGCCATTCCTGTCTCAATGGGCTACCATTTACAGAAGGAGTCATATCTAATAGCTTTCTGGATGGAGATGGGGCATTGTGGGGATAAGTGAACTCAGAAGATATCAGAGTGACTTTTAAGAAGTCCAAGTTTTTGAAAAAGCCCTGAGTGTGGAGTTAGCTTACCTGGATTTAAGTCCCAATGCTATCACTTGAATATTAGCTGTATGATCTTGAATAAATAGCTTATCCTTTCTCAACCTCAGTTTTCTCATCCATAGAGTAGGAATGGTGTTTCCTACCTCACAGAGTTATTTCAAGGTCTGAGAGAAACATGTGAAATAATCCACAATTTCTGATGCACTTTTCATTTTCTTATTGTTACAGTAAGAAAATTTGAGACCACCTACTACAACAGACCCTCGAACAATACAGGGGTTAGGAGCACTAGCCTCCCATGCAGTCAAAACTCTTTGTATAACTATTGACTCCCCAAAAACTTAACTACTAGTAGCCTAGTGTAGACTGGAAACCTAACCAATAACATAAACAATCATTGACACATATTTGATATGTTATATGTGTTATATACTGCATTCTTACAAGGAAGCTGGGGAAAAGCCCAAAATCTCCTTAAGCTGATAAGCAACCTCAGCAAAGTCTCAGGATACAAATACAATGTGCAAAAAACACAAGCATTCCTATACACCAATAACAGACAGAGAGCCAAATCACGAGTGAACTCCCATTCACAATTGCTTCAAAGAGAATAAAATACCTAGGAATCCAACTTACAAGGGATGTGAAGAACCTCTTCAAGGAGAACTACAAACCACTGCTCAATGAAATGAAAGAGGATACAAACAAATGGAAGAACATTCCATGCTCATGGGTAGGAAGAATCAATATCATGAAAATGGCCATACTGCCCAAGGTAATTTATAGATTCAATGCCATCCCCATCAAGCTACCAATGACTTTCTTCACAGAATTGGAAAAAACTACTTTCAAGTTCATATAGAACAAAAAAAGAGCCCTCATTGCCAAGTCAATCCTAAGCCAAAAGAACAAAGCTGGAGGCATCATGCTACCTGACTTCAAACTACATTATAAGGGTCCCGTAACCAAAACAGCATGGTACTGGTACCAAAACAGAGATATAGACCAATGGAACAGAACAGAGCCCTCAGAAATAATGCCGCATATCTACAACCATATGATGTTTGACAAACCTGACAAAAAACAAGCAATGGCGAAAGGATTCTCTATTTAATAAATGGTGCTGGGAAAACTGGCTAGCCATATGGAGAAAGCTAAAACTGGATCCCTTCCTTACACCTTATACAAAAATTAATTCAAGATGGATTAAAGACTTACATGTTAGACCTAAAACCATAAAAACCCTAGAAGAAAACCTAGGCAATACCATTCAGGACATAGGCATGGGCAAGGACTTCATGTCTAAAACACCAAAAGCAATGGCAACAAAAGCCAAAATTGACCAATGGGATCTAATTAAACTAAAGAGCTTCTGCACAGCAAAAGAAACTACCATCAGAGTGAACAGGCAACCTACAGAATGGGAGAAAATTTTTGCAATCTACTCATCTGACAAAGGGCTAATATCCAGAATCTACAATGAACTTAAACAAATTTACAAGAAAAAAACAAACAACCCCATCAAAAAGTGGGCGAAGGACATGAACAGACACTTCTCAAAAGAAGACATTTATGCAGCCAACAGACACATGAAAAAATGCTCATCATCACCGGCCATCAGAGAAATGCAAATCAAAACCACAATGAGATATCATCTCACACCAGTTAGAATGGCGATCATTAAAAAGTCAGGAAACAACAGGTGCTGGAGAGGATGTGGAGAAATACGAACACTTTTTCACTGTTGGTGGGACTGTAAACTAGTTCAACCATTGTGGAAGTCAGTGTGGTGATTCCTCAGGGATCTAGAACTAGAAATACCATTTGACCCAGCCATCCCATTACTGGGTATATACCCAGAGGATTATAAATCATGCTGCTATAAAGACACATGCATACGTATGTTTACTGAGGCACTATTTACAATAGCAAAGACTTGGAACCAAGCCAAATGTCCAACAATGATAGACTGGATTAAGAAAATGTGGCACATATACACCATGGAATACTATGCAGCCATAAAAAATGATGAGTTCATGTCCTTTGTAGGGACATGGATGAAGCTGGAAACCATCATTCTCAGCAAACTATCACAAGGACAAAAACCCAAACACCACATGTTCTCACTCGTAGGTGGGAATTGAACAATTAGAACACATGGACACAGGAAGGGGAACATCACACACTGGGGACTGTTGTGGGGTGGGGAAGGGGGTAGGGATAGCATTAGGAGATATACCTAATGTTAAATGACGAGTTAATGGGTGCAGCACACCAACATGGCATATGTATACATATGTAATAAACCTGCACGTTGTGCACATGTACCCTAAAACTTAAAGTATAATTTAAAAAAAAGAAAAAAAAGAGAAAATTACTAGGAAAAGAATACTTACTATTCACTTAGTGGGTGTGGATCATCATAAAATCTTCATTCCCATTGTCCTCATGTTGATAGGCTCAGGAAGAGGAAAAAAGGGTGGAGTTTTTCTTGCTGTCTCAGGGTGGCAGAGGTGGAAGAGGTGAAGGAGGTGAGACAGGAGAGGCAGACATATTCCGTGTAACTTCTACTGAAAAAAATGTAAAATGGAATCCATGCAGTTCAAATTCATATTATTCAAGAATTAACTGTATATAGTTTTTTTACTGCCAAAGGTATTTCTTGATACAGAGCATTGAGGAGAGACAACAAGTTCAACAAATGACAGTGTAACCCTCCTCAAAAAATAAAATAAAATCAGTTCATCAAAATACCATGTCTATTTTTTATACCAATGGAAAGAACAACGGTTTTGCTTCATATTCCTTGGGCAATACCTATAATTTTACCATTACTGTTGGCAGAAATTAAAGCCTTAAGCTAATGCTGTTACCCAGAAGTACTTGTAGATTACTAATCATTTACACTTTAACTTAAAAGAGCTTCAGATCCTGTACCAGAAAAAAAGGTTGGGTATCAAGGGCCAGAGCCCCGTCTAAGGTACAATGCAAAGAAAGAATCCACCAGACCCCATTAAATGTCTTTCTTGGGGACTCAAACCTTTGTCACAGAGAGTAGCCTCAATAGTGAAAACCTGATAGACACAGTAATCTTGTTTGTGTCACACTCAAAGTCCTACCAAAAGAGGTGATGCTGCCACCTGAGACAGCTGAGAAAACTCCTCCAATAATGACTTAATACTATTTTTAGCTGCATCAGTACATTCCTGCTTAGCTAGTCCCTTTTATACACAGTTAGGAACCATACAGTTGTGAGGTAGAGTAGGGCATGATCAACTAATTAAAAAGTTGCTCTCAGCAACAGGCTTAGTTAGTACAACGGATCTTTGGGGGCATAAGCTCTCACCTCCAGCCTTGGCTCAGCTAGTACATGATTGATTATGTTCTCCTCTGTCCCAGGAGAGGATATAGAAGAAAGAAAGTCTCTGTCCTCAGAATGGTGTAGTCAGAGTAAGTGCCCAGTTGAGTTGTACAGTGAAGCCAAAGGCAAAAGAAAAATTAGGAACATTGAGCCTATCCTTATTGAGAATTTTGATAATTTATTCACATGGACTTTTTCGTCATTAATTTTGATTTTTAAAATGACTGTATTAAAATCCTGTATGTCTTGATAATTGGGTTTTGGGGCAGCCCTGTGAATGCCTTACTTGGCTCACCCTGGTCACAGCCCCAACTCAGGGTCTCCATCCTCAGAGGAGAAAATGTACGCTTTCAGAGAAGAACACAGGGCTGGCACTTGCCACTGCAGCTCAATCACCTTCCAAAAAACAACATTCTGAACATCGGCCTTGGGAAAGCATTAATGACTATGTCCTCAAAAGCCATTGCAACAAAAACAAAAATTGACAAGTGGGACCTAATTAAATTAAAGCGCTCCTGCACAGCAAAAGAAACTATCAACAGAGTAAACAGACAGCCTGCAGAATGAGAGAAAATATTTGGAAACTGCAACCAACAAAGTTCTAATATCCAGAATCTGTAACTTTAGCAATTCCGCAAGCAAAAAACAAATAATGTCATTAAAAAATGGGGAAAGGACATAAACAGATACTTCTCAAACCAAGGCATACATATGGCCAACAAACATGAGAAAATGCTCGTCATCACTAATCATCAGAGAAATGCAAATCAAAACCACAGTGAGATACCATCTCACACCAGTCAGAATGGCTATTAATAAAAAGTCAAGAAACAACAGATGTTGGTGAAGCTGTGGAGAAACCAGAATGCTTACATACTGCTGGTGGGAATGTAAATTAGTTCAACAACTCTAGAAAGCAGTTTTGAGATTTCTTAAAGAACTTAAAACAGAATTACCATTTCACACAGCAACTAAAATAAAATAAATGGTTCTACCAAAAAGACACATGCACTTGCATGTTCATCGCAGCAACATTTGCAATAGGAAAGACATGAAACCAACCAAGATACCCATCAGTAGTGGACTAGATAAGTAAAATGTACATATACACCAGCCACAAAAATAGAACTACTACACAGCCACAAAAAAAGAGTGAAATTATGTCATTTGCAGCAACCTGCCTGCAGCTGGAGGCCATTATCCTAAATGAACTAATGCAGGAACAGAAAACCAAATACCACATGTTCTCACTTACATGTGGGAGGTAAACATTGGGTTCTCATGGACATGAAGATGGGGACAACAGACATGGGAGACTACTAGAGGCAGGAGAGAGGGAGAGGGGCAAGGGCTGAAAAAGTAACTACTGGGTATTATGCTTACTACTTGGGTGATGGGATCAATCATGCCCCAAACCTCAGCATCACGCAATATACCCTTTTAATAAACCTGTCCGTACTCCCTGAATTTAAAATAAAACTTGACATTATAAATAAAACAAAACAAAATAAAATAGGAAAACATTTTTAAATCATCTTCCAGGCTGGATTTTGGGGCTCACGCCTGTAATCTCAGCACTTTGGGTGGCTTAGATGGGCAGATCACTTGAGTTCTGGAGTTCAAGACTAGCCTGGACAACATGGCAAAACTCTGTCTCTGCAAAAAATACGAAAATTAGCCTGGTGTGGTGGTGGGCACCTGTGGTAACAGCTACTCAAGAGGTTGAGGTGGGAGGATGGCTTGAGCCCAGGAGGTGGAGGTTACAGTGGGCTGAGATCATACCACTACACTCCAGCCCAGGCAACAGACCCAGACCCTGTCTCCAATTAAAAAAAAATCGCCTTCCAGATTCAGAGGTGACAGAAGCACCTCTTCAAAGGGCCAAGACAGGCCGAAATGTGAAGTCTGCCTTTTGATAAGAATGCCACCAGCTCTAAGGGAGGGCAAGAGGCTAAATGCCCACAATGTCTAGCCAGACTCATGGCCAGGTGAAAAGCCTCAGACCAGGGCCAACACCATGCCTTGTTATAGGACCACTAGGTTCAATTGCATGTTGCACAGCAACATACCAATACATCAAAACAGCAGGAGTTGCAGTAGAGAAACAGTTTAATAATTGAATGGCAGCCAAAAAAAAAGAGGTGGGAGAAATTTCAAATATGCTTCCCCAAGGAGTTTTGGCATGGGGTTTAAAAGGGAATTCTGGTGGGTAGTGGGCTGAGGGTCTGGGTGTTGCTGATTGGCTTGAGCATGAGGCATGAAATCATAATAAAACAGAAACTGCATTCCCGTGCTGAGTGTGTTCTTCAGCGGGGGTCTTCAGACTGGCTGGCGTCAGTGGACCCATTGGAATGCAGGATCTGAAAAAATATATCAAAAGGAAAATTTGGGGTTTCTTAATGTTAACGATGTTATCTATAGAAGGTAGGACTCTATGACAGGGGCTATGTGACTTCTAAACAGTAAGCAGCTATAAGGAAGTGGGCTATAGAGCAAGCTGGTTAATGCTTAGCTATGCTTCCAGTCCAACTTTTATTAATTTCACAAGGACAGTTTCAACCTGATTTCTGGAACTGGCAGAGCAACTTCTCTGTCAAAAAAGTGGTGCTCGCCATCACCTGAAGACCAAGCCCTTCTGCTTGAAATTTTGCCTCAAGGCCTCTGTGAATCTACTCAGATAGTTTTGACTTTGAGTAATTCCTGAGCCAACTAATTCCTAGCCAGAGCCCATGTATATTCACGACTTTAGTTCCCCTTGCTCCTGCTGGTTCCTTACCTCCACCCACAGCCATGCCCAAGAGTGGTGGCCCAGTTCTCAGGTTCACTCTATGACAGAAATTAGCATGCAATATTGCTGCTTCTCTCTTCTCACGGCACAGAGCAGCTAACAGAGAGTTAAAAAGGTGAAAGATGCACCTTATTTCATAAAATACACACATTAATGAACTTGAATCTCTTCTAATCCCTGCTAGAAGGAGGGGATCTGATAAAACATGCATAGCCACATCTCTCCCTATGTTAATTCCCTCATTTTAGAAGCAAGGAGGCAGGCTGCAACACTTCGGGTTTCCTCCAAAGGTGACTCCCAGCTCAGTTCTGCTGTTGATACAGTATCATTAATGCACCTAAACTACTTAATTGGTTGTACAGACATCCAAAAGAGGGGAAAAAAGGGAGACTCAGATTCTGTCTGATCACTCATCCCAGACCACTCCTCCTTGACTTTCTCCTTTTCTACTGTTTCCTTCTGTTTCTTCTTTGACTCCTCTGTCTACATCTCCCAGAGTCTAATTTATGATGAGGCAGAAAGTACACGTTGTACCAGTCTCGGACACTTGAGCTGCCAGATCTGATTTCCCTGGTAGATGTGGAAGATTGAGGAAAGAACTGTGGCTGACAATTAGATTTATTTTTCTGCATGTGTCCCAACCCTTGACACGGAACCCAGCAGGCCACAGGTAACCTACTATCTTCTGCAGAACTGGGAGGATTTTATTGGCTCCATGAGTGGGGAGACAGAGTTTCCCAGAGTCAGGTCAGGCCCTCCCTGCTGGCTTGTCAGCTGGCTCAGCATCAGTCATAACAAGTACGGCACATCCTTGAAGAAAACACAGGGAAGAAGGCAGTGGGATATCTCTGGGAGGCAGAATGTGCTAGAAGAGGCACATAAAACTTCCACTAAATGTTACATTTTTTTGTCTTATTCCTGACTCCTTCATCATAGACTCTACTGGCCAAAGTGTTTTACAAGCAAATACGATAGTGACTGTACTCCACAGCATCATTCCCAAAGTCCCTTTCCATTCTTCATTCTTGTCACTTGGCTCCTTAAGAACAATTGTGGTTTGGGCAGTCATTAACACATTAGTGAAATGTCATAAAAATTTCCTTTGGGTTGGAAGGAAATCAGAATATGGAATATAGAAAAGCAAAAGTACTTTTTTATTTTATTTTGCCAAAGAAAGTGAAAAGAAAGAATCAATTTGTTGTTATTTACTCTGCATCAGGCACTGAAATGGAGGAAAGGGGCATAACACCTTTTTTTTTTTTTTTTCCCAAAAAAAAGGGTTCCTCCTCAAGGAGAGACTGAATGTCAAACAGAATTAAAGAAAAAGAAAATGAGCAAAATAAACAAAAACTAATGAGGGTAAAATCAACCTGAGATGCCTCTGCTAGACGAATATAGCGCAGGGCCCCTTTTATTATTTGTTTCTGCTCCTTGATACAAATTTTCTTGCTAAAATAGTCTCACATTTTGGCTTATTCATACTCAAATTTTATCTTAGTCTTTTAGAAAACCTAAATTAGGCCGAGGGGCCACAGGTCCTCCTTCCTTTCCCATACCTCCCTGTTCCTACCGGCATCTAGCTGGAGGTGCAGCCTGACTCACAGAGAACTCCTCCAGTGCCCCCCTGCCTCTGAATTTTGAGTGGCTTTGCCTCCTTCCAAGGTTAAATAGATTTTAGATCCAGATAATATATTTGAGAATTATAACTGGACACTAACTCTGTGGCTCACATTTATCTGATTTGATACAAATCCAAAGGCTGAGGACTCCAAGGAAAAGGGCACTGTCAGAGCCTTAATACCAAATGCTGCAGCCTGTAAATGGACAAAATGATATTGGTTTTGGTTGCTCATTTTATACAGTAAACACACTTGGCCAGAAGACGCAGGTCTTTTTATATACTTTTCCACTATTATTTTATGCATCAGATGCTTCTGAAACCTAATTTGAGATGCCCAGATTCCTATTCATTTTTCATCTTTAAAAATCAAGTACCCATTGGAGAATTCTGCCATTGCTCCACAGAGACTGGAATGGAAATGAATAAATAAACTTTTAAAGATAATTGGCTTCTAAAATATCCTCATGCCTCTCCTTCTCTGTTTTTTGACAACCCCTCCGGGAACTGCATGATAAAGCAACCTGGGAATCTTTGGGTGTATGATGTGTGAAAGAGAGCCAGTCCACAGAAACTAATCTCTTGGGAATTAGTGTAGTCTGCGACTTGGCTACTGCATGCTGGTGGAAATGCACTAGCTCTGTTCAGATGCCTGATTCTGATCTGCTTCTGCTAGATTCTTCTTATCCACATCTTGCTCCAGTCCACACTAGCCACTTGTTCTGACAGTTCAAAACACATATTTTGAATTCTCAAATCAAAAGGCTTTCCTGCAGTTTATTTACCATAGGATACATTTTCCATTTGTTCCTGTTTAACGTGATGAAGTGAACTGTTTACAATCTTTTTTCAGGAAACTCTTAGGACACACAACTCATTCACTTAACACATATTTGTTGATTAATTATTTTGAGGCATTTTCTCCGATTGTTGAAGATACAGCAGTGAAAAAGCAAGTGATGCTCCTGCCATTAACAAGCTTGTATTCTAGAAGAAGTGGTCAGAAAATAATCAAGAGATCAAGGAAATAAGCAATAATAATTTCAGATTATTCAAAGTGCTAGAACTAAAATGAACAGGGTCTTATACTAGGAAGTGATGTTGAAAAGAAGTGTTTGCTGTATGAGACAATACCAGAACATTTCAATTTTAGATCTGGTAGGAAAAAAAAAATGGCCCCTCTGCAAAGGTAATATTTTAACTAAAATATGAAAAATTTAAATCAATGAGCTCTTCAAAGCACCGGGGACAAGGACTGTAGGCAAATGTTACAATAGAGCAAAAGATACCAGTCAGAACAGCTATTATTAAAAAGTCAAAAAATAACAGATGCTGGCAAGGTTGCAGAGAAAAGGGAATACTTACACATTGCTGGTGGAAATGTAAATTAGTTCAGCTGCTGTAGAAAGCAGTTTGGAGATTTCTCAAAGAACTTAAAAGAGAACTTCCGTTTGACCCAGCAATCCCATTACTGGGTATATACCCAAAGGAATATAAATTGTTCTACCACAAAGACACATGCATGAGTATGCTCAGCACAGCACTATTCACAATAGTAAAAGCACAGAATCAATGTAAATGCCCATTGATGGTGGACTGGATAAAGAAGATGTACCATGTACCATGGAATACTATGTACCATGGAATACTATGCAGCCATAAAAAAGAATGAGATCAGCCAGGCGCGGTGGCTAATGCCTGTAATCCCAGCACTTTGGGAGGCTGAGGCAGGCAGATAACGAGGTCAAGAGATCAAGACCATCCTGGCCAACATGGTGAAACCCCATCTCTAGTAAAAATACAAAAATTAGCTGGGCATGGTGGCATGCACCTGTAGTCTCAGCTACTTGGGAGGCTGAGGCAGGATAATTTCTTGAACCCAGGAAGCAGAGATTGCAGTTAGCCAAGATCACACCACTGCACTCCAGCCTGGTGACAGAGCGAGACTGTGTCTCAAAAAAAAAAAAAAAAAAGAAAAGAATGAGATCATGTCCTTTGCAGGAACACGGATGGAGCCATTACCCAAAGCAAACTAACACAGGAACAGAAAACCAAATACCACCTGTTCTCACTTATCAGTAGGAGCTAAACATTGAGTACACATGGACACTTAGAAGGGAAAAATAGACACCAGGGCCTACATGAGGAAGCAGTGTGGGAAGGTGAGGATTGAGGATCAAAAAACTACGTATCTGGTACTATGCTCATTAGCTGTATGATGAAATAATCTGTATGCCAATCCCCCATTGCACACGATTTACACATGTAAAAACCCACACATGTACCCCCGAACCTAAACTAAGTTGGAAGGAAAAAGAAAGTGCAAAGGCACTGAGGTAGGGAAGATTGACAGTTTTAGGGCAAAAAGTAGGCTTCTCTGGCTGAAATATTGTGAGAATGGAGAAGTAGGCAGTAGATCTTGCAGGACTTTGCTTACCATAATGAGGAGGTTAGATGTTATTCTAAATATTATGAGAAAATATTTTAGCAGCTATATAACCACCAGCACACGCCCACGGTTAGCTGAAAGTATCTCAAATACACATGCCTGTAACCAAGTGCAGGGGAGCCAACATCTTACAGCAGAGCTCCCACTGAAATTGACAAAAACTAAATGAAAAAGAAGAGGGGTTGTAAGATGTATAAATGAACATCTGTCTCCACATCATTTTCCTTTAGCCTGTAAAATGAGCTCATCCAATGTGGCCAAACATCTCTAAAACAACATCAGTTTTTAGTGCTGAAAATCACAGAACATCCCTTAACCTTGACTAATTTGGACTGCTTTAGGGCATGTGTTATTGGATAATTTTGTCAATGATAATAAAATGTTTCCCTGTTTAATGCAGGGAAAAGGCCAGCATTTGCAGCAAGATAATAAAGGAATCCAATAAAAGTCCATGATGATCATAATAGGAGATGGCTGTCCCCAAATGTTCCCCATCCTAGGTATTGTTACTGGAAAGCTGTCATGTACCTGCTGAGCAAGAGTAAACACACCCTGGCCAAACACCTGGAGAAAGGTCTTGCTGGCGAAGATCAGCTACAAAATGGGGAGGAATAAACTCAAAGTAAGCATACTTTGAACTTTTGTTATGCTTTCTGCCAGAACATACTCCCCAGATGATGTGAGTGAATCACATAAATGGAGGAGCACAGGAGCTGAGAGTTTGGGCTGTGGGATCAGGTAAACCAGGTTTACACTCTCACTACCCCACACTTACTAGCAATGTGACCTCATCTTGCACTGCTCCTCATTTCAGCAAATACCTCCATATTTCCAGGGATTTAGAATCATCCTTGACGCCTCTTTGCATCCCACAACCGATCTGTCAGTAAATCCTATTAGGTTGTATTTTTACATATATCCAGAACCCAACTATGTCCCCCTGCCTCCACTGTGCTACCCCAGTCAAAGCCACCACAATCTCTTGCTAGATTTGTGCAATGGTTTCCTAGACTTTTCTCAGCACCACAGCCAGAACAATCTGTTAAAAAGTAGGTCAGGGAGGTATAAATTAATTCACTTCCCTTTAAGTGTGGGCTAGATTTAGTGACCCAAATCCAAAGAATAGAGAAGGTAAAGAGACAAATAGTAACCTTACAGTAGAGAAATCAGGCAAATACCACCGTAACCAAATGATCAAGGTTCACATAACCAGTGACACATCGTCTGGATATTATGTATCTTGTGATATGTTGTGATGAAAAGAGCAGCTTACCTCTGTGACATTCTTCTCCAAAATCATAAACCCAGACTAATCATGAGAAAACATTAGACAAACCCAAATTGAGGTATATTCTACATCATAACCAGTACTCTTCAAAAATCTCAGTCTTGAAGTAAAAGAAAATATTGAAGAAAGACCCAAAAAGACTAAGGAGACACGATAAATACACGCAGCATGTTATCTTCGAACAGATAAACCGTGGAAACATGGGTGAAGTCCAGATAAAGTTTGCAATTTGGGTTACAGTAACGTAACAATGTTAATATCTTGGTTTTGGCAAATGTATCATGGTCATATAAGATGTCAACATTAGGGGAAACTAAGCAAATTATGGGAACATTGTGCTATCTTTGCAACTTTTCCCTAACTTTAAAATTAACCCAACTTTTTTTAAAAATTAAAATTATATAGAAAAGTTTGTCTCATTCCCCCACTCGAATTCTCAAAGGCATCCTGTCTTACTACATAATCTAGCCCTCGGTAACATCTCTGATTTCATCTGCTCAGTCCTGTCACATTGGCTTCTTGTATGTTCTTCAAACACTCCTGGAATATTCCTAATATAGGGACTTTGCATTTACTTTATCCACTTCCTGAAATGCTCTTCCACCAAATGCATGCATGGGTGGCTCCCTCAGTTTCTTTAGGTCTCTACTCAAATGTCATTTTCTTAGGCCCTCCCTGGCCACTCATCCAAAACTGCAACCTCCCTCTGACACTTCCGAACTCTCCTGCCTGCATTATTTTTCTCCTTAGCACATATTGCATCTATTATATGTTTTATTTATTTTGTTTATCCTTTGCCTCTCCTGCTATAATGTAAGCTCCAAGAGGCAGAGATTTTTCACTGCTATATTGACTGCTATGTCCCCAATTTCTAGGGCACATGGTAGGTACTCCATAAATATTTTCTAAGAATGAAAAAGACCTTGGGTATTTACCTAACCTCTGAATCTGTTTTCATATATAGTGAAATAATTACCTGTACCATAGGCTTATTGTAAAATTTAAATGTGCTAAAAAATGGAAAGTGTTGTATACAATGTTTTTTAGCATGTAAAAGATTTAGGAAGTTATATATTACCACTCGTTACATTTTCATTACTATGATCACTACTATTACTAGCTAATATTTCCATTATTGATTGTTCACAAGTGACTATAGATTTTACATTAAATTGAGACTCAGTTGGAAGATTTATAACCTTCAATTAACCCCTAATACACACAGGTCCATAAATGTGGAAAAAAATCTATGGCTTCTTCCTCCATCAGAATAAATGATGGTCTGGCTGTGTCACTGCTACAGGAGAGAATGTTGAGGGAAAGGACCGAGAAATGCGAGTTTTAAGTGAAGACTTTAGGATTTATTTCCGGACATTAAAAAAAAGTTCTTTCATTCTTCAAATGGTCTCATCCCCTAGGAAGTTCCTGAGCTCCTTTTCAAAATGGCAATGGTGGTACCCACCCTGACTTCTAACTTGTTTGTGTCTGTCCATACCTACCCTCATGCATAACCATCTAATTGGCACCCTCTGTCCTAGAGTGGCTTATAATCTAGTTTAGGTGCATACATGAGGGAAAAATAAATTTAATGTTATCATACAAAGAAAAGATTAAACAAACTGCCTTTGTTTTGAGAAAAAGAAAGAGAAAAAAATATCTCTGTGAGAGTCAGAAAGACTTCACGTCTGTGACTTTCTTTTAGGTCTTTGGAAAAACAGTTGTGTGTGTGTGTAATGATACATTTTGTCTCACTTCTTGGCCCTTGATAATGATGATAATGATAAAAATGTTTATTATTGATATTCTTATTATTGGTATCCAGGGATATAGATAAAAGATATCATTGCATATTTATTATTAATTGTTAATATGTTATTATTACTATTATTATTCTATTATTAAAAACTATGTACCAGGCCCTGTGCTGATACATTGCATGCTATGTTCTCATTTAATACTCTCAACAAAGTCATGAGACAGATACTACTTTTATCTTCAGTTTGTAGGTAATAAAACTGAAGTTTAGCAAGGTTGAGTAACACGCCTAGAGGGAGGATGGAACTAGAACATCTCCTAGGCTCCAGTCTCTTCCCTGTATTTAGGGAGTACAAAGTTGAGCCCCAGTGCTTGGAGCACAACTGTTTATACATGCTAATTGGGATTAGGCTTACATTTATTCTGCTTAGGTCACAAATCTTATTGTCCAGGCATACATGTCAAGTCTGATCAGCAACAACTGAAGCTTGGAATTGAATTTCCTGTGCTCTTTGCCCCCAACAGCTTGCAGGTTAAAGCTAAACGTATGTGTTATCCATCTCCACAGCTGGGATCCAGGGACATTTATTGGCCTAAAAGTTAAATAGCACAGGAGACATTCTCATCCAAACCAGACTCTTTTGTCTTCTTCAGTCAGACTTGTGGTGACATTCAAGGAAACCGTGCCCCAAGCAAAGTAAAGGTACTTTTCCAGGGATCTTCTCTGGGAAGGAAAAAAAAAGGATGCCTAGACAGAAGCACAATCATACAGTTTTGGTAGTCCCTTTCCCTTCCTGATAGAAGAAACTGAGAAACAAGGTGAAACTAATTTATTGATAGACATCAGATATAATCAGATTTATGTTGCATAAACGAACACAGGTCTGGTGGTCCTGGCCCTTCCCTGCAGGATGGAAATGTTAGTCCACAGCTCACAGTGCCAGGTGATTGATTGCAGGGTCTGAAAGAGGCCTTCGTCAGAGTCAAGAGTGAGTTACAGAAGCAGAGTTCTATGTGTGTGCTCAGTACCAATGATGGTCAGCCCATAAACCTCAGGCAGCTCCAGCCCACATTCACTCCCACATGTGAATACTGATTTCATGCTGGTTGATTTTATTCTTATGGGCCTAAAGAGAGGACAAGAATGAAGAAGAAACCATATAACTAGAACAACAGAAATCATAATTACTGGTGCATTCCACACAATATTATACACCCTAAGAATGGCAGAGAGAAGACAGAACTATTCCTCATTGGTTTCATTTTTCTCTATCAAGGTTAGTTTTTAAAAATACATAAAGTATGGGAACAGAAAACAAGACTGAGAAGGAATTACAGCCTGATATGGTTTGGCTGTGTCCCCACCCAAAGCTCATCTTGAATTGTAGCTCCCAGAATTCCCATGTCTTGTGAGAGGGACCTGATGGGAGATAATTGAATCACGGGTGCAGTTTCCCCCATACTGTTCTCGTGGTAGTGAATAAGTCTCACAAGATCTCATGGTTTTATAAGGGGTTTCCCATTTTGCTTCTCATTCTCTCTCGTCTACCACCATGTAAGATGTGCCTTTCGACTCCCACCATGATTGTGAGGCCTCCCCAGCCACATGGAACTGTGAGTCCATTAAACCTCTTTTTCCTTATAAATTACCTAGTCTTGGGTATGTCTTTATCGGCAGCGTGAAAATGGGCTAATACATACCCCTAGCTAGAATAAAGCCTCATAACATAATGTAAACTGATCTCCAATCCCAGAGGAAACTCCTAGGTTTAGATGAGGTCACAGGAACATTTTTGGTTAACCTTGTTGACAGTGAACTCTGGCATCTCTCCAAAGTTGCATACTTATTCAGACAAATTTTGTCCCAAATCTTAATATACAAATATAGAATCTAAAAATATTACTTTATAATGTCATTTCCAGAAATAATGGGAGATGTATTAATGAACAAGTGTGGGAACAGAGGGACCCTATACTGCTTTTCAATAATTATTACACTTTTTCAGAAACTTCTATCCAAGTCCGGTCATTCCCTTTTGTGTGGCTGTGATGGAGCCAGTGAGAGGAATGCTGTGTGTGGACACCATCAAACATCTTGCCGAGATCTGGAGACAAGAAGTCTCTCCAAGTGTTTTTGTGAAAAAAAAAAAAGAAGAGAAAGACATTCATGAAAGATAAATCACTAAGTTACATTTATTAGCAAACTTTGAATTGACTAGCAGTAGAACCTCAAATACCAAGACTCTGACTTTTGCCTTATTGGGGTCTATGTTTCTTGTTTTGCATTTTTTAAAAAGTCTTTTGAAAAGGTATCTTTTGTCTAATTTGCAAAGTAAGGCAAAGTTGAAAATCAAATAATAAAGTATTGAGAAACAGGATGCAAAAAGGACTGCCATATTTGTAAAGTAAAATCATGAATTAAAAAACTGAAGTTCAGCAAGGCTAAGTACCATCAAATAACACTAAGCTAAGAAACATATTTGTAAGAAATGCACAGGAAAAGAGACAATATTCATAATATGTAAAGTTTTCCCACAAGCTAATAAGAAAAATACTAAAACTCCAATAGATATAAATACATAATTCATAAAAGAAAAAAGATTATATACTAAGCTGTTCAGGAAATATGTTGAACTATACCAATTAAATAGTAAAAATAGTAATATCCTATATTCTCCCATTAAAATATCAATAATTAGGAACTTATGATGTTTCATTTTAGTAAAGATAGATTTGATGAACTTATGATAGAGAAATTTAACAATCCCGGTCAGTATACATTTGGCACAGCACTCTAATCCTTTGACACATTTTTTCACTTCTAGGAATCTTTCCTAAAGATCTATAAAACCAGGCCAAGATTTACATGTCAAAATGCCCACCTCCAGCATCATACATGCAAGCAAAGAGAAAGAAGAGAAGGAGAAGGGTGTGGGAGAGAGAAAAGCAGGAAGAAAGAAGAACAGGTGAGAGGATGAAAAGAAGTAAAACAACATGTCCAAACTTAAGAGTATGGTTAATTAATTATAAGACATTCATTAAATGGAACTTTATAGATGACCATAAACCCAATGCTTTTCAGTATGTTAAATTACATGAGAAACTACTATGATTAAGGGTTATTTAAATCCTAGTGCCAAATTTTCATTAATCTCTATTAAAAATCATCTCTACCGATATCATTTAGCAAAGCTGTGATTTAACAAAATTTTCTATGTAAAAGATGAATAATTTATTCCTGCTACTAGACTGTAAGCAAGTTTCCAAGTAAGTGCCACAGCTTTTTGACACATTATCTAGACTTCATGAAAAGCACTTAGTTAAGTGTTTGTCGCATAAATGATTACAGACTCAGTATGTGGCTTAGCCCAAGCTTCCTAGAAGACAAAGCCCAAGACAAAGCTTAGATGCTTTGCTTTCATAGAAATACTAGGGCAGCAAGATTGGAGATAGGGACATGAGGCGGGGAAGGAGAAAAGCAAATAAAAGCCTGTAAGTAATAATGTCACCCATATCTGCACAAGAAAACTTAGCTGATTGTTCCTTCATGCAGAATGTCTCCATGCACTTTGAACTGATTAAACACATTAAAACATCTCATCAGAAGAAGGAAGGACAAAGAAATATACTGGCTCTCTTCTTTCGTCTGTCATTGGTCAAATTTTGTCCTGGGGGGGCATTAATGTTCTCACACATCTATCTGTATCACCTGGCCCTTCAAGTGTCCACTGGAGAAGCCAGATCTCATGCCCCAGGGTACTTCATCTGGGTCCTAAAGCCATGAGTTGAACCAGAGCTTCTCTTGCTGTAGATGGGTTGAGTCTGAGTATTTGAGGAGCTGAGACTTCTGCCACAGGGGAAACAACAAGGGCAGTGCTAGAGAGCAGCCTAAGAGAGGGGAGGGAGGGATGGCTGGAGAAGTCATGAGAGGTGTCAGCTGCATCAAGACTCTACAGAGCAAGTGGCAGAGAAACCTGAAGGCAGGTGGAACCAAGCAAAACTGGAGAGGTACATAACTTGGGTCTGATATAATTTGTGTTATTATTTTGATATCACAAATCTGACATATTTAACTGCAACAGTAGAAATTATATCCTGGACAAATCTCATAATCAGCCTCTTGTGACTCTCTAAAGTCAAACCATAGATGGAGCATTGGGTTCACTTCCAGTTGTCCTAATATAAGAAAAAATAAACACAAAAAAGACATAAAAAGCAAGTGACAGCCATAATAAGGGAAAGTCAAAAACACACTATTTGGGTAAATGTTGAAGGCACTGTGAGTCTGTGTCAAGGAGAATAAGAGGAAGAGGAGGAAGAGAGAGAAAAATAAGGGAGGAAGAGGAGAGAGAAAAAGAAGGGAGGAGGAAGAGAAGAGGAAGAAAAAAGAGAAAAAGGAAAAATTGTTAATAGTCTTTAAATTCTCTATTAGCTATTATATTACGAGGTTATTCAGATATTCAACTGTGATGTATGGAATTAAAGAATTTGAAGCCTGGCTAATTAAATGCAAGCAGGATCAACAGGATGTGTTTCTTATTCAGAGAAGCTAATAACATTTTTATCATTGCTTTCCTTTACTGGGCATCAGTTACCTCTGACAATATATAATGCTATTTCCAGAAAGAACATAAAAATAGTAAAATAATAACAAAATACTAATAATAACAACAAAAATCATGAAATAAGGTGATTGTTTTGCACACATACAGTATACCAGAGGTACAAAGAATATTGATGCCCTTTATCTTTTGTTTTTTAACAACAATCCTGTCTTAAGCAGAAGAGATGAAACTTGGAGTGATATAACAGAGGAAGAATGATTCTGGAATACGGGGATTGTAAAAATGACTGCAGCCTTAGGAACGAGAAAACTACAGTAATTATTGGTTTTGTGTTAATCTTACAGGCAGCAATGTCTTTGTTCCTGGGTTAAATGTGAGAGTGTCAAATCATCTATTTCCTATATTACCCTCTCAGGCTGTCAACTGTAATACCCATGCTGAACTCCAACTAGTCATTTTCCTAGGCTTCTAAGAGACATCAGTCATTTCTGATGGGACAATTTCTGCAAACTTCCTTGAGTATTTTCATGCAGTTTCATTCAAGTACTGATCACCTCTCCATCCTGACCATTTATCTGAGCCCCATCAAGATTGGATTATATTCCTCTTTCCTTGACTATCTCCAAAGCTTAGCATCTCTTATCTGCCTCTTGTCTAATGCTTTGGGAGAAATTTCTCCAAATCTGTTTTACCCAGAATCCATTAGATGTAATGTTAGCTTGCCTGATCTCAAATTTGAATATTCAAACTGAACCTATTGTCTTTGCTGCTGTTGCCTTTTTTTAGTGGTATATGACATTTTTAGTGATATATGACTGGAAAGCAATTAACCTACTGTATTAGTCCATTCTCACACTGCTGTAAAGAAAAGCCTGAGACTGGGTAATTTATAAAGAAAAGAGGCTTAATTGGCTCATGATTCTGTGGGCTATACAGGAAGCGTGATGCTGGCATCTGCTTGGCTTCTAGGGAGGCCTCAGGAAACTTATAATCATGGCAGAAGGTGAAGGGGGAACAACAATTCACATTGCCAGAGCAGGAGGGAGAAAGAGAGTGGAGAGGTGCCACACACTTTTAAACATCCAGATTTCATGAGAACTAACTGTTGCCACAACAGCACCAAGAGGAGATGATGTTAAACCATGAGAAATCATCCCCATGATCCAGTTACCTCCCACCAGGCCCCAGCTCCAGCACTGGGGATTACATGTCAACATGATATTTGGGTGGGCACAGAGATCCAAACCATATCATCCACCACGATTTAAATTTTGCAAGACATATCACCTCCAATAAACTATGTGCTCCTACTCGGCTGAGAACTGGTTTTATTTTAACCTATATTTTAGGTTCAGGGGTACAAGTGCACGTTGTTACCTAGGTAAACTTGTGTCACGAGGGTTTGTTGTACAGATTATTTCATTACCCAGGTGTTAAGCCTAGTACCCATTAGTTGTCCTCCCTGATTCTCTTTCTCCTCCCACCCTCCAGCCTCCGAAAGATCCCAGTTTGTGTTATTCCTTTCTGTGTGTCCATGTGTTCTCATCCTTTAACTCCCACTTATAAGTGAGAACATGCAGTATTTGGTTTCCTTTTCTTATGTTAGTTTCCTAAGGATAATGGGCTCCAGCTCCATCGATGTCACTGCAAAGGACATGATTTCATTCTTTTTTATGGCTTTATAATATTTCATGGTGTATATATACCATATTTTCTTTAGTCTATCATTGATGAACATTTAGATTAATTCTATGTCTTTGCTATTGTGTATAGTGCTACAATCAACATACATATGCATGTGGCTTTATAATATACCCAAAAGAATATAAGCCTATTATAAAGAACTGGTTTTCTTTAAATACTTTCTTCTCATATCACTATTCAGACAAAGCCTCTCATGAGGCCATTACACCTGCAGAATGACATCCCAAAGCCTGAGCTGGCAATTCAGGCACTCTGCGACTCTTCTGCCCCTTCATCAGCACCCTCCACATTGCCCAAACTAAATATGTCTGATCACATTAGACCTGCCGCTGTTGTGCCTTGATTTGTGCCCTTCCTCCTTCTCATGGTGCCATCATCTTCCCATAACTTTCTAAAGTCTCCCAATTCTCCAAACATCACCAAGTCAAATGTCCTCCTGGCAGCCCCCCATGATTCTTTTATCTCACAGTGGTGTCTCTCTCTCTCTCTCTCTGCTTAAGATTTGTTACATTTAATTTTTTGGACCATTCCTATGATAAAATGGTCAAGTTCTGCTTGGTTTTGCAAAATACCTTTTTATGGATATGAGTTTCATTTGTGTCCACTAGATTTACTATATGATATGTTTCCTTATAATCTCTAGAAGTTGTAGCACATATTTGTTGCATAGGATTCAATTTAGAATTATTCAGATGTTTATTATTTTTATGCCAAAGTTTAATCATTTTATATATGCCATACAAACATACACACACACACACACACACATACACACGTCAATAAGACATATCTAAAAGTGCAATTTATTACTCCATTCTCTCACTACTATAAAGAACTACCAGAGACTGCGTAATTTATGAAGAAAAGAGGTTTAATTGGCTCACATTTCTGCAGGCTGTATAGGAAGCATGGCTGGAGAGGCTTCAGGAAACTTTCAATTATGGCAGAAGGGGAAGCAGGCACATCTTACATAGCCGGAACAGGAGAAAGCAGAGGTGGGGTAGGTGGGCACACGCTTCTAAAAAACCAGATCTTGCAATAACTCACTCACTGTCATGAGAACGGCAACGAAGGGGAAATCCACCCCCATGATCTAATCACCTCCCGCTAGAACCCACCTCCAATACTGGGGACTATAATTTGACATGAGATTTGTGTGGGACACAGACCCAAACTGTATGGGACACAGACCCAAACTGTATCATGCAATAATAGTGGTCTTTGGGAATGAGAGGGGAAAAAAAATTCTCCTCCTTCCCAAAAAAGTCTGGCCTGAAAAACTATCAAATGAGCCAGTTCTTAATTGTTTTGTCTATATATAGTATTATCTAATTTAACCCCCACTCTAAAGCCTAAAACACAAGTCTTAATCTCTCCAAGATTCCGTTCCCTCACCTATAAAATAAAGATAAGAATTTTATCATTACACAACCAGTATACAACAGAGCAAAGATCTGAACCAACTTTTGTCTGACCCAAAGTCCCTGCTCTGTACACCATACTATGCCACTGCCTGTGAGAATTAGGAAACTTAAATTCTAAACTTACCTTTGGCCACCAACCTTCTGGGTCATGTCCTTGAGCTTCCGAATCCTGAATTCTAAAATAATAGAGGCTAGACTACATCAACAGCTTTAAAATATATATATTTTATTATGACCCACAGTAAGAAATTGTACATTAAATTTCAATTCTCTCTCTATATATAAATACCTATAAATATGCATATATGTACATATACACACTATATTAGCCCATTCTCATGCTGCTATGAAGAAATACCTGAGACTGGGTGATTTATAAGGAAAAGAGGCTTAATTGACTCACAGTTCTGCATGGCTGGAGAGGAAATGTGAAACTTACAATCATGGAAACTTACAATTATGGCAGAAGGCACCTCTTCAAAGGTGGCAGGAGAGAGAATGAGTGCCAGCAGGGGAAATGCCAGGTGCTTATAAAACCATCAGACCTTGTGAAAACTCACTCACTATCACAAGAACAGCATGGAGGAACTGTGCCCATGATTCAATTACCTCCCACTGGGTCCCTCTTAAGACAGGTGAAGATTACGGGGATTACAACTCAAGATGAGATTTGGGTGGGGACACAGCCAAAATTATATCACATGCATATGTAAAAATACGCAATTATATGGAGAAAATGAAAACCTTTTTATTAACATTTACTATATGAATATGATCTATTTCCTATTATTCTTTTTTTATCCTATTCTATCCCATTTTTTAAAATGCTTATCTACAATCCACTAAATTCATTTCAAAACCACTTAGAATTTGACCCCAGATTAGAACACTTCTGAAATCCTTTTTTTCTGTACAGTGTAAGGTTCTGACTTTGACCTGGATGACAGCTGCAGGGTAGAATCCAAGTCCATGGACTCAGTCTGCCTTCACTTACCAATAAAAATACAGGTCAACAAACTGATGGAGCTCTGGACCATGAGGTTTCATGCAAGCTTAATCGCTGACATATCCTGTGGACTAAGGCATACCACCTGTATGTAAACCTTTATCTATAAATTGAGAAGAATGAAAACCCTCACTGATCTCACAGAATTGCCACAGGGAAAACTCAGAATGTCTGCAAGCCCTTTGGAAATGCCAAATGACCCCTTTCGAAGTACTTCTTTCAATGCAACAAAAATGTTCTATAGCGGGCACCATCATAAAAGTGAAAAGAAAATATACTGTCTATATCTTATCAAATTCTCACCTCTGGGTCCTTGGCAAAACCTAGGTAGATGTTTTCATAGTGCTCTATCCTAAAAAAAAAAAATACATGATTCCTTTATGCTAAAAAAAAAGAGTAGAAAAATGGGAAGAGGTGATCCCTATTTCAGAAACCTTGTGTATAACCTCAGAAAAAAAATTCTTGTTAACTGTATTATGGATTTGAGTATCTTTTCAATATTTTATGAAAAACAGAGCTCTGAGGAGGTAAAGGAAGTTTTGAAATCTAATTCAGTCTATTGGGTCCAGAGGAAGTAGGCTACAATTGAAGGTGGCGTTTCCTATTGCATGCGATGTTCAAGCCAAGAGTGGGTGACCACTTGGTTAAGAAATTGTAGAGAGCTTCGATATATGCAATGCTAGGGAACTCGGTGCCATTTACTATGACTGATTTATCTGGCAAAAATGTATTTAGTACTATCCTATGCCAATTGGAAAGATGGCCAGTTATTCCCTTTTCTGTAGTCACGTCCTTTGCCACCTGACTGTGCATCTCTTCTCAACACAGCAAAGCCTTCCCCCTTCCCGTGCCCCTGAATCTTGACTGATGGACAACATTGTGCCCATTCTGACCCTAGCCTTTAAGAGGCCTCACTCTCTTATGACCCTGACCAGCTGCCATGAGAAAAAGTCTGGACCAGCCCGCTGGATGACAAGTAATAATCACCCACATCACAGCAGCTAATAGTCATCTGACCACAAGACACGTGAGTGAGGCCATCCTAGACCAGCCAGGCAGTCCCCTATTGACCTAACAGCTGACCACAGATAGATTATCAAGCCCTGCTGAGATCAGCAGAGGCTTACCTAGATCAGCAGAACTAACAGACCCACAGCTTTTTTCTTTTTATATTTTTTATTTTTTTTGAAGCAGAGTCTCACTCTGTTGCCCAGGCTGGAGTGCAGTGGCATGATCTCGGCTCACTGCAACCTCCACCTCCTGGGTTCAAGCGATTATCCTACCTCAGCCTCCCCAGTAGCTGGGATTACAGGAGCGTGCCACCATGCCTGGCTAATTTTTGTATTTTCAGTAGAGACAGGGTTTCACCCTGTCGTTCGGTCTCAAACTCCTGACCTCAAGTGATCCGCCCGCCTCGGCCTCCCAAAGTGCTGGGATTACAGGCGTGAGCCACGGTGCCCGGCCTAGACCCACAGACTTTTATACAATAATAAATACTTGTTTAAGCCACTGATTTCTGGGGAGTTTTCATATATAGCAAACAGCTTCCCAGCCAGACCCTGGGCTAGGCTAGACAGCATTGAACAGGATGAACAACTAAAATGTCTTTTCAACCCTAAAACTATTTTATTTTTAAAAATCCCAAGCCCTATAACTTTAAGTACCACCAGTACATGTATATTTGTCTTTCAAATGAGTTAAAAACTAACTATAAACCGAAGCTCTAGTGTATTCTCCCTGCCGGCCAGTGAGCATGAGCACACTGTTGCAGAGAACACTGCTCTAGCTTACTTCAGACCTCATGTTTCCACAGGTGGCACTGTGATCCCAGCATACAGAAAAGGCATGGCTGCTGCCCACTTTCACTTCTCCCATGAGGCTTCCAACCTAGGAAACCACACAGATCCTCAAAGCAGCTTTGCCACTACACAGATGTCCCCTGCCTTCCCTGTGTTGTTGGATTCTGCTGAGCTCTGCCTCCATTTAAAAAGCATTAGTGCCTGTCCACACTGCCTAAAGGGACACTGGGGCCTGGGAGAGGAGGTCAGCTGTAGATAGACTCCTTCATTTATATCTCCCTTGAGCCCAGGATGGTGTTCATTCAGGCTCTGAATGCTGTTACAGTATAATTAAGAGGATAGCTTAGGATGCTCTGCTTTCTAAATCAAACTAGAAATCTCCCCTTCTTTTTATCTCTGTATTATTCTTCCTTACTTATGCCAAGCCGGGGACATCAGAGAATTCTTTTTTAAAATGTGCTTTGTTCTGTAACAACAAAGACAGAACAGCCACTGAGAGAAAGAAACAGAGCTGAGTTCCTCCTGGTCCCTCCCACTCCAGGTGCAATGAGACAGCTCTGGGCTACCCAGGCCTTCCTGTCTCCCATTGTTTCTGGCCGCCTGCATGATTTTACCTTCCTGACACACTCTTTGACTTTTTATGAAATGATGAGGAATTAGCTTAAGTCTCAGTCAGATGTAAAAACAATATCTGTCACTAAGTCTCTCTGCTATGTCTGAATAGGAAGAAATACCTAATATTTTCAGACAGCGAAAAGGGAAAAATAGATGAACAGGATGGACAAATAAACTTTGTAGTTTAAGTAAATTCAAATCCACTTGACATTTCTCATATGCTCTGCAAAGGACAGGGCTTGTCTAATAAACCTGTTACCAGCCACCTTTCTGCCACTGCTTTACAGGAGTTTGTTCTCTAATGATATTGTAAGTGTTGAAATGGCAGTTGCATGCAATATTTTACAAAGTAAATAGTTCTAAGCTCTTGAATAAAGGGAGAAGTTGATAACTGGAAAAAACTATTCACTCAACATTCATTCAGTTATTGGGCATAAATCACATACAAGTACATTATAGAGGCTGAAGGCACTACAGAAAACAATATTCTAGAAAATGGAAAGAAAGGACCCATTCATCCTTAATTCTCTCCCCTAGAAAGAAGGCTTTGGGCAAGGGATATTTAGCTCAGGACAGATGCAGGGAATATATATTTTGGCCTAATAAAACTAATGTCTTAGTTTATAAGTAAAGATATTAATAAAAGCCATATTAAATAGCTATATCATATAATTATACGGCAGGCACTGCTCTAAGTAGCTATATTCTTTTTATTAACAAGAAATCAGACGTTGTTCTAAGGGCTTCTGGTGGATCACTTGTGTGAAATGAATACAAAAGGTAGATTTTGATAAATTTTCCATGCCCTCTTTTTTGGTGGAGACCGGCCATGAACGAAGTCCAGGCAGCTCGACTTCAGAGGCTGCACTACACATTGTAACGGCTATAGTACACTGCCCCATTCTAGGTTTATTTGAGCTAAATATTGACAAAGATATAATAATATGAGAGATATTATTTTTTCCTATAGCTAGGAAAGGAAGGGGGGTTCTCAGGTAGAGAACCTGATAGAGAGATGTGACAAATTTCAGCAAGTCTAGTGAAAAATTAACAACAGCATAGAAAAACAGACACGTTGGGTTCATCACTTGATACCATATTCACAAAACCAGAGGTAATCTCCCATCCCCATCTTGCCCCGACACACCTCAGGTGCCAGACTAATTTTTATCTCCATTAAGCAGCAGTGTGGTATCAGAATAACACCTGAATAGGCAAAATAAAGAAGGCACAATGGCCCTGCACATCAGAGTCACACAAATGTAAATTTGTGAAACCTCATAGAAGCATCACTAAAATTTATACTAATTCAAGAAGTCTAATATGTTTAAAGACCTCATCCACGAAGTTCCCTATCATATTTCCCCCATTTCTGACCTAGAACTCAATATTGGAGAATAATGAACGCTTTCTCCACCTGTCTGATTAGAAATATTCTCTTTTGCATTTTGGGGCCTACCGTAATTTGAAGTGTTATCTCTGTTGCATTTTTCAAATGAAATTACTCTATAAATACCTCACAGGCTATTGTGAGAATCAAATTAGTTAGCAGATGTGAAAGTATTTTGAAAAGTTCAAAATGTTATGGAAATAAAAAGTTATTTGACATGCTGTTGGAATGATAACAACCTAAGTGTGCTAATAGGCATTGCTTTCTCATTATCGAGACAGACTGGGGTAGAAATCACACTAGATCGAGTCAGCCTTGTCATGTTCAGATTCCAGCTCTGCCACTACCTAACAAGGTGACCGTAGGCAAGTCTCTCACCCATTCCCAACCGTGATGTTCTCATTAGTAAAGTGAAAAGGTGGAACGAGAAAATTGGTGAGGTCCTTTTGAGTTCTAAATAGAATTTCTTGTTGACACTTTTTCCAACACAATTTTTCAATTATTTCAGGAAGACAAATTTTACATATATATATATATTTGGGGAAGAAAAAAGATATATATCTTTTATATATACATATGGATTATAAAAATATGCATATTTATATATAAAATATATGGAATATATATATATATCTTTTATGTATATAGGGAAGCCACTTTTGAAGCCTGGTTCTAAAACAATAACACAGTAATTCTTATGTTGGAGTTAACTTCATTCCAGCCATTTTGAATCTACTTTCAGTCATCTGGGTACATTTCTTTGGGCCTATCTGGCTTGTAGCAACTACGTCACCCACCTCTTCTGTGAAGCTTTCTTTAATCTCTCTAATCCTAGCTCAGGGCTTCCTCCTTGATTTTCCTATAGCTCTTTGAGCTGCTTCATCAGCAGTCTCACCATCATCACCATTACCATTTGGACAACAACAATCATTCCTGGGAATCTGTCCACTCTATACTAGGTGCTGTTGTAAGAGCCAATGCATTATCATTGATGCTCATAAGAACTCTGAATGGCTGGCTTAATTCTCCTTATTTCACAGATTAAGAAAATGAGCCTCAGAGGTTAAATACATTGTTCAAATTCGCACAACTCAGAAAGAGGTAAAACCAAACATCACACTCAAATCTAACTGCAAAGACCTTTTTTCTTACTAAATCATAATGTCTCATGACTTCTAGTCTACCAAGAATGTTTGTACTGTAATAATTTGGAGGCGGAGCTTGCAGTGAGCCGAGATTGCGCCACTGCACTCCAGCCTGGGAGACAGAGCGAGACTCCGTCTCAAAAAAAAAAAAAAAAAAAAAAACCTCCCTTCTAGGTTGTAAACTCTTTGGTGGTTGAGAATATTTGTTCGTTTTTATGTTTCTAGTAAATGTTACTATCTCTGGTCTGAAATGCTTGGGACCAGAAGCGTTTTGGATTTTAAATTTTTTCAGATTCTGGAATATTTGCGTTATACTTACCGGTTCAGTATCCCTAATTAAAAAATTCAAAATCCGAAATGCTCCGATGATCACTTTCTTTGAGCAACATGCCAGTGATACAGGAGCTAGATAGAAATTATTTAGGCAGATAGGGTAAAGTCCTCAGCAAAGCTTCCCTTTTAATAAAAAGCAGCCCCTCCATTATTTGTTTTCTAACAAAGAGCAGCCTGAAAAACTGAGCTGCAGACATAGACAAGCAAGCTAGAAGCTTGCTCGGGTGAATGCCCGCAGCTGTGCCAATAGAAAAGGGCCACCTGGAGGCTCGACATGGCGGTTCCACCTTCCCTTTTCTTTGTCACCACGTGTACAGTAAGGAACAGGCAACATGGTGCTGGTCAGGTAGAGAACCCATCTGCATAATAAAAGATTAAAGTGGAGGTGGCCAGATTTTCGTGCACTATGCAAATAGCACAACTGGTCTGATCAATCTTCTGTGCCCTATGTAAATCAAACGCCGCCTCCTCAAGCTTATCTACAAAACCTCTTACTGTTCACTGTGGAAGCGGCAACCCATTTTCGCTGGGACCCCCCTCTCTGCAGCAGAGAGAGCTTTTCTTTCTTTCACCTATTAGACTTCCTCTCTGAATCTCATCCTGGTGTATCTGCGTCCTAGTTTTCCATGCCCGTGGGACAATAAACCTCAGGTATCACCCCAATGATGCCACTTCACCAGCACTCAAAAAGTTTCAAATTTTGGAGCATTTCAGATTTTCGGATGAAGGATACTCAATCTGTACCCAGCACAATAACTGTAACATAGAAGATGCTCAATTAATGTTTGTCAGTTGAATAAATTATATCAAACACAGGGCCATTTTCTTCTGAGTATTATATTTAATACACAGTAACATGATTCCCTATAATAATGCACCATTTTATAGTGGCATTTTAAATCAAGTTCTTAGGCCTATAAATTAAGTAGTATGGGATTTCTAGCTGCAGATATTCTAAAAAGCATTCCTAAATGCTTCAAAATAAATTCTTTAAAGTCTCAACGTTACCATAAGCTCTCACTTAGTAAAGCAAGATCTTGAAACAATTATATGCGTCACTGTAATATCATAAGCACATAAAAAATAACTGTAGTACAAAGAATTATCTTTTATCTGTCATGGGTATTATGGTTTCACCTTCAGACTTGCTTCACTGCCAATGTAACCTCTTTCTCAAGCTCACTCATTTTTTCCCAAGTGAATTCTGGACATTTTTATTCACCTTTCCAAGAATTATTTCATGCCTAAGCCAATCTTAGCAACTTCCTCCCTGCAAGCATAGTTTGTGGAGTTTGTCTTGTATGGTTCCCTGCTACTTGGCATTAAGGAGCTGAATAGATACATGGTTTGATTAAATAACAACAAATAACAGTACTGGCTTTGCTGCTGATTATTTACCTTAATTACATCACTTATCAATGAAGAACAATATGATTTATATCTATTGTTGACTTTCAGGACCTACCTAAGAAGACTTATGAGGACTACATCAGTACAGATATTTTTACTCAGTTGCATGCTTCACATAAATCTGAGTATTTACTAATAGAATACTCTGTGATCAGCATTGTCAAATACTGCAGCAAATATGAAAAGCAGAAGACATGGTCCCTGTTCTTACGACCAGAGAGAGAGGAGTTATACAGAGAGAAAAAAATTAGAGAACAATGCAAGGCAGAATATAATCAAATTCTCACTTGTTTAGAACAGATAATTATCCTGTAGCACTTCAAAAGAGGAAGAGATTATATTGTCACTATTGGAGCCCATGAACACATGGGAAAGCAATAAACTAATTCTTAGGCTAATGCTTCCTAGAGAAGGCCTATTTGATATAAAACTATTCGGAATCCCTAGGCATAGCAAATGCTGTTGTGGTTGTGTTTGTTTTTCCCATAGATGTCTCTTCCTCCTCATAGCTTCAAACTACAGTAATTCTCGAGGCTTAGCTTCCAGAACTCCATTGATTTGTACCCTCCTTTCTCTCTTAGGGAACTATTCCGATATAAGCCCATGAATTTTATGCCAAATCTTTGCTTCCATATTGTCAATCTAACCTCTTTCTCAAGTTCTAGTTGTGTTTCTGAACATTATCATTCACACTTTCAACAATTATATATAAATTAACAAGTGCAAAATCGATCATGATGTCTTTCTCCACACAAGAAGCCCTCCTTCCTCACATTGATATTTCTATCAGCCAGGCAATCTGAGGTATTTTTTAGTCCCATCCATACAACTTCTATCCATGTTTTTCATACATTTCATCTTCCTCCTATTATTTTGTCTACAATCCTTACTAAGACATTGATCACTAAAATATACTCTTTAGTCTCCCTACATCTGATTTCTACCTCTCCCACCCTCGTTTTCCCAACCCCTCCATCTGTCTCCAGAAATTTATCACCTGTGATGTGCACCAAGGCAGGCAACGAGCTGGGACTGAAAAAGGACATGCCTTGACCCTGAAGCCAGGTAAAGACGCATTCGCATCTCACCCCAACTTCTTTATTTGCCCTGTAAAATCTCTGAGATTTATTCTCATCTTTAAGCTTGGAATAGTACTATATATCTAGCAATACTATGAATATTTAAATGAGATAATGTATAAAAGTCCAACACAAAAGAAGAGCCTAACTAACAATCTTTACAATAATAATTATTACTAGAGGATGTAGTAAGGTACTCAAAACCCTCCATGAGGTACCTTCAATCTGCATGTCTGCATTAGAGAACAATGTAAAGCAGAATATAATCAAGTGTTCACTTGTTTAGAACAGATAATTATCCTGCAGCACTTCAAAAGAGGGAGAGATTATATTGTCACTATTGGAGCCCATGAACACACAGGAAAGCAATAAACTAATTCTTAGGCTAATGCTTCAGTACCTAAACCAAGAAGGTCTACCTTCATATTTCTGCTTATATGTTTTTTACCATAAGTGAGATGTTTCCCCTCACATTTCTTTCAACTAGAACAAATATTGTTTATTCTTCAAGACACTTGTCTTGTCACTGACATCTTTAATGAGGTTTCCATGCCCACTCTAGTCTAAAGTGAGCCCTCCCAACAGATGACTGGGTCATTTGTATTTGTTTTCTATACTAGCCTTTCAATTTAAACACACAGTGACTTGTTACACATTTTTTTACTGATATTTAATGCATGTCACTATATTGGCTTCCCAATTAGAATAAAAGCCCATGAATGTATGGAATACCATTTATACCCATAAGCCCAGTGCTCTTCTCAACGTAGGCACTTGATAAATATTTGTTGACTTGATAAATACAGGACTACATTAATAAAACAAAGAAGTGAGAGTTGGCACAATAATTAATGACAGAGTCATATTTTTGTGGGAGCTGAATGCTAAGAAAAGGCAGTGGCATGATTAAAGTGGAAAGTGGGGAAGTCTGATACATCAGTTCTCTCTACAGTAGATTCTGACTGAGGACTTGAAAAGCAGAGAGATTAGACAGGAGTCTTCGTTAAGAATTATAAGAAAGGAATTCAATCTGGAATAACAGAAACATGGTAATAGTATAATTCAGTGAGTATTTTAAAGAAAGAAACAAGACAAGGTGAATCAATAAATACATCTTGAAATGTAAGCAAAAAATAAATGAGTCAATGTTTCAAGATTGAAGCTGACCCTGTGAAAGAAATGGGAAAAGTCTAAAGACAGTCTGTAGTGAATGAGAACACATTTTTTTATATGCTGCGAGTATTGTAGGACATGCAAATATGGATGTCTAATGGGTAAATTTTGCAGTCAAATTAAGAAAACGCCTTATAAAGTATCAGTGGAATTGGTGAAAACTCCCAAAAGATGGAATTCTGTCTGTCATCTTAATGCTTCAGATAGTTGCATGATCTTTAAACTTGTTCAACTATGAGATAAGAAAAAGCCTCACAATCATGCTTATTAGTTACCCAGTTCAGACGTTCAATTTGTGTAGCTAGTCTAGAAAACCATAAGAACGAAGAATGTAAATACAATAGTATCATTGTTAAAAGTAGTTTTCTCACTTTCAGACTTTCTCTGCCCTTTTCTACCAAAGTTACAAACGGTTGGGCATGGGTTTGCATGGGAAAGAAAGAAATTTACCTAGGCAACTTCTTATGGCTAAAAGGAGTAACAAGGACTGCATTTACCCTCCTACCTGAAACACCAAAAAACAGACAAAAGATGTGCAACAATTGTTTTTAAATACTACATATGGACAATAAGGATAGTAATCTCTGAGAAATGAAAAACTATAAGGTGAACCTTACAACTGTCCCAGTTAATGGCCTGAAATATTTTTTAAGAATACAAAACAGGGAGTTTGAGACCAGCCTGGCCAACATGGAGAAACCCCATCTTTATTAAAAATACAAAAATTAGCTGGGCATAGTGGTGCATACCTGTAATCCCAGCTACTCAGGAGGCTGAGGCAGGAGAATCACTTGAACCTGGGAGGTGGAGGTTGCAGTGAGCCAAGATTGTGCCACTGCACTCAGCCCAGGCAACAGAGCCAGACTGTGTCTCAAAAAAACAAACAAACAAACAAACAAAAAATACAACACAGGGAGAAGGAACCCAAAATATGGCACAGTCCCAGGGTCGAGGAGCCAGAGCCGAGAGTCCTAGGACATCAAAGCAGCTAGGAGAGAGAAAGCTATGCAAAGAAAATGCCAGAAACCTACAAATGGTAATGAGAAAGTCCTCCAGGGTCAAGGAAAGAACCTTCCAGAAAGATTCAAGGAAACTGGACCTGGGCTCGAGCAGGTCCAAAATAGCACCTGTTCCCATCATTCAGACTGAAAAACATAATGACTGACAGGATGTTGTAGTACTTAGAATAGTCTTGTCCAGACAGTGGGAAATAATTAGTCTTAGGCCAAGCATGGCTCACCTAACAAACCTTAAAAGTGAGAGATGAAAGGAACAGATTGTTTCCAAGTAATTTACCTGCAACTCGAAACAAAGCTTAAAAAATACACGTAAGAATACAAAAATACCTAGCATCCAAAAAAATAAAATTCACAATATTGGATATGCAAAGAAGCAGGAAAAAACAGTCCTGAATGAGGAGAAGAAGTAATCAATCAGAATGAAACCAGAATGGACACAGATGTTAGAATTAGCAGGCAAAGACATTAAAAAAGCTATTATAACTGTGATCCGTATGTTCAAATGTTAAGTAAAGACATAGGAGATATTTTTAAAACCACCCAAATATAACTTGCAAGGTGAAAACTGCAATATGTGAGATGAAAAATACACTAGATGGGATTAACAGCAGATTAGATATTGCAGAAGAAAAGACTACAGAATGCAGCAATAGAAACTAAAATGAGATTCAGAGAGAAAAAAATCTTTTTAGAAAATAAGAACAGCATCAGTGTGCTATTGGACAACTTCAACTTCAAGCAGCTTAATAGATGGATGATCAGAGGCTGTGGAAGAGGAAAACAAGAAATATCTGGAAAAGAATGGCTAAAAGTTTTCCAAATTTGATGAAAATTATAAACATACAATTCCATGAAGTTAGATGAACTCCAAGAACAAAACCATGGACAAAACTAAATAAAAGTACATCATAATCAAATTGCTTAAAACCAGTAATAAGGAAAAAACTTATCAAAATTCAAGCAAGACTTTTACAGATATAGGTAAGATTCTAAAGTCTAGATGGAGAAGCAAATTAACTAGAAGAGCTAAAGCAATTTTGCAAAAATCGAGAATATAGTGGAACAGCCACTCTACCCAATATTAAGATTTATTATGTAGTTACAGTAATCAAGAACAGCACAAATATGCCCAACTGATTTTTGACAAATACTACAAAGGCAATTCCATGGAAGAAAGACAGCCTTTTCCACAAATGGTGTTGGAACAATTGACATCCATAAGCAAAAAGATAAATCTCAAGATCTTATGAAACATACAAAAATGAATTGAAAATAGAACATGGCCTTGAATGTAAAATGTAAAACTATAAATACTAATCGACTACTTCAAAACATTTACATGTGGATGGTCTGCTTCCTCCCACTCGGAGAATGTTCATTACATGACAGCAGGAATTTTATGTTTTATTCACTGCTATACCCAACATCTATAGCTGCTGACACTTAAGTGGCATTTAATAAATTATGTTTAAATATTACACAGAGACTACAGTATTAAGAGTATTAAATTACTCTTCTTTGCAATGCCAGCAAAATTCCAGACTTCTGAAGAACTGTATTCCCAAACAAAGATTAAGGCAGGTTGTAAGGAGAAAACATGTATTAGATTACCAAAGTCTAGAGGCCCAATCTCCCTTCCAGAGAACCAACCTCAGGGAATATAGAAGCTCCAGAGAACCTACTTCCTTTCCAGAGAATCTACTGCAGG